>NC_000011.10:49756969-50060000 GCF_000001405.40 Homo sapiens
ACAGTGCTTGATAAAATTCAGCAGCCTGTTTTTTTCCTAACATTTATTAATTTTGTGACCTTCAGTATGTTAATGAATTCTATTGAACTTTTTTTTTCATCTGTTTATAGGGTATAATTATTTCTATCCTGTTATCTCCTTTTTGTTATGGGATTACAAGATATTTAAGAGTCTAGTAAATAACTTTAATAAGTTATGTAGTTTGAAATTACAGCAATTTTTTCAACACCTATAAATTCCTTTTCAGTACACATAGTATTTTATATAACTCTGAAGAATGAAAATATCACATGAATAAAATCTTCCTTAATATGCTAGGGTCTTCCTTGCTAATGTGGATTTACCTGACTTAGATGGATTCTCTCCTTTCTTTCATTTCCATATACTAGAATTTGCATTCCATAAATATTCTTTTTACCTCCTATTCTTCATCCTAACTTTGCACTCAAGTCTGATTTATGCTCTATTGCTTCACTAAGACAATGCTTCACTAAGACAATGGTTCACTAACCACCATGTCTTGCTGCCTTCTTTCAGTCCTAGTTATCTTTATTTGCATTATGGCATTTAACACTATAGGGCACCTTTCCATTCTGGAATCATCGTCTTTCTTAGATGCATGTAGGTCTCCTCTATTTCCAGTGACCACTTTTCTTTCCTGCAGTAGGTTGAACAAGATTGCATATAAATACCTAAGCTTTGATATTAGAACTGATTTTAAGTTCTTATTTTGTGTCCCTTTAATAGTTATTTGACCTTGAGTAAGTTGTTTAATCTCTCTGCTGCAGTTTCTTCATCTGGGAAATGAGAATAATATTTCATTCCAGTCTCACTGGGTTGTTTTGAACATCATTGAGATTATGTGCATAAAAGCTTACCCAACTCTAACTCTCAATAATGTTAGATGTCATTGATATATTTTTTCAACATTTTTAAATTTTATTTTTAATTGACAATAATAATTGTACATATTCATGGAGTACGTAGTGGTGTTTTCAGTACATATAATGTATAGTGGTCACATCACACTAATTTAGCATATCCATCATCCAAATATTTAGCATTTCTTTGTATTAGGTGGGAGCATTCAATCTATTATTATTATTATTTTCAAACAACCTTTCTTCCCTTTAATCATTTATTTAATTCTGAGCAAAAGCTCTGGCGTAAGCTCTCTGTTCTTTCTCTTCACTCCGTTTCTTGGCTTTACCTCTCATTTTTACACGTACACCCACATCCCCCACTGCCCAGACCTCTCATGAGAGCTCCATTATTAGGTTAATTTTTGAGTCCAAAATGTCATTTTGTAGATTCCTTGTGGTAATCCATGTGTCCACAATGGAACACAACATTCCCTGTCAAACATCAGCTTCTACTGCCTGGCTATCCTATCTGTTAGTTGGTCTATCAGACTACAAACTATGAAATCATTCTTAACTCTTTTTTTTTTTTTATGTATTACTTAGCCCTAGACAAAATATGGTACCAAACACCATGATTTCTTTGTAGAAGTGGCTTTATGATTAACTCTTTCTTTGCTTTCTGTTGTCTGTGACCTATTTAAAGTTCTTGTCATTTCACAATTGGATTTTTTTCAGTAGCTTCTCAATGGATCTCTCTCACACACCATTTTTGCCTCCAGTCACCCTTATGAACCATTGCCAAAAAAATATTTTTAAATATTATTTTCATTCTATAACTTTCATGCTTGAGATATAAACTGTCTGCATTGCCTAGTGTATTACTAGGTTGCAACTCTGTCTGACTTGGGGACTTCTCTTTATTTTAGTGCTTTCTCCCATTGTTCACACATATGGGCCCTATGACTCAGAAAAATCTAATGACAACCAAAAACATAATTTATATCCTATCTGTCACTCCACTCCCTATAAAGCTCTGTCCCATATCTAGAATATCCTCTCATATAGTGAAGTATTTCTTCCTTTCTACCCTTTCTTTGTGGCCTAAAGTTCTAACCTCTCCCTAGAATTATTTCTTCCCTTATATTTTTTCTTACTTCTATTAGAAAGACAGGATGCTATCACTGTAAGTTATGGAAATTAAAATCAAGCAAAAAGAATCTACTGGTTTATGTAATTGTGAAAAAACAGGGATATAGTAGGGGCCACTAAAAAAATATAACCAGGGATTTTATACTGACAGATTCACCTCCTTACACCTATTAATTTCCCCTCTTTTTTGTAGAGGCATTCTTCTCTCTTTTCATTTCTTCATGAAGTTGGAACCATGGCTAATGACTGCTGTTGGCTCATATTTTTGAAGAGAATAAAAATATTTTTCAAGGAATAAAGTGATTCTCTATTAGCTTGAGTTTGAAAAACGTAAGCAAAAGGCCCGATGAGCAGTTTAGGTAACATCTCAGTCCTTTAAGCCAATAATTGAGGTTAGGGGGTTGAAGAGTTATAAATCTAAAATAAAATTGTACTTATACTTTATTAATATAAATTATTATAACACTTTTAAAAATTTATGCCTTACAATTTATTAAGTAAAGTGGATCATGTGCACACATCAAATAAACAGAGAAACAGGGATCTATTTCCAGGAAAAGGGATTATGAACAGTCATTGCACTGCTGGAGTTCTTGGAAACTGGACAGGTACCATTTTTGTGTCAATAATAACGAGTTTTTAATTAAACTTAAAGCACATCCATGATTATTTCCTTTTTCCATAGCTACCTACACAATTTCATGAGCGCATGACCCAGTGTAATCCTGAGTCCTTGAAATGTTTCTAAAACTGATTCATCCTTTCAGTGAAATAGGAATAGATAGGACTTCCATTTCCAGGATTTTTCTCAGCCAGAAGTGTCCCCTGGAGGCTTGGGCAGAATTACAGCTATCTTGAGATTAAAGGAAAAAAAGGAGCCACATTGGCTGCTTCCATCTGCTTCAGAGCAAAACTTGCTATTCCTATGTGTTAGGTAATCCCAAATGGTTTTTACATTTTAGTATCCCAAAGGTATGATTAAAGGATTCGTGCGGAAGGAAAACAGCAGACATTAGTGCAGCAGAGTTGAAAAAAGCCAATACTTTGGTACTATCCTGGGATTTCATCAGCAGCAAAATGAGGACAGGAGAATTAGACCATAAGTGATTTTATTAAAACACTAGGGGAATCCAATCAAGGTACTTTAGCCATTAAGATCCCTGATTACAGGGTTTATATCTGTTCTAATTTGCTTCGTGAGGTGCCTACGTAAGCAATAGAACAAGGACCATGTTTTTAAGAAGTACTAAGGTGTTGTTACTTTGGAAAAACTACTGAATACTCAGTGCATATCTAATGAGCAGTTTTCGTTTTAAATTTCTAGGAAGAATGCTTGGCAATAGTTGAATTAACATTTGCCAGGTATCTAACTGAGAATATAAGTTAGGAGCCATAGGTGTTAGTGAACCATGAAGAATAGATGGTTTTCATTCAGGAGTGTGTCATAGTTGTGACAAACACCAATCACAAAGAAGTTAGTAGCAAAATAAGAACTCATAAAAATGTGTGTAATTAATATTAAAAATACTACTCTAGCCTTATTTATATGTCAGGCTCTGATATAAGCACTTTCCATGCAAAATAGCATTTAATCCTCATAACCACCTTATGAAAATGTTATAGATGAGAAAACAAAGGCTTAGAGAGATTAGGTAACTTGCTCCAACATCCAAACTACAGATGTCAGAGCTAGGATTTGAAATCAGCTTTGATTAATTCAAGTGAAGTTCAAATTTCATCTAATTTCAGAGCCATTCTCATAAGAGTTCTTTATGATTGCCTACTGAGGAGAAGAAGAAATTATGAGACAGCTAAGACAGAAACTAAATTTTGTTGAGTGTTTATCCTGTGCCAGACTTTGGTCTGGTGATTGGCCTACTGTATCTGATATGATTAAAGAAACTGAAGCTCAGTGACATTTAAATAACTTGTCTAAGGTCATGTATCTAGGAAATTGTGGATACAGGAATCAAACTCAGTCTGTATATGGCAAAGGCCAATGCCCTTTCCAAGTATCATGATCTCTATGACAATACAATTAATTTCATCTAGCCTAAGGATTTGGGTACTTTTTGTGACTGCAAGTGTTGGTCAGCTGCAGAGGACTATATTAGTTAGCTTGAGATACTATAACAACAAACCCACAGACTCAGTGGTTCATAAACAACAGAAATGTATTTCCTTATAGTTTTAGAGGCTAGAAGTCCAAGATCAAGGTGTTAATAGGCTGTGTTCCTTCTGAGGATCTGTCTCCTTGGCTTGTAGATGCCATCTTCTCCTTGCATCTTCACATGATAATGTGCATGTCTATTCCTTAATCTCTTCTTATAAGGACCCCATTCAGCTAGATTAGGGACCACACATACGATTTTTTTTTGCCTTAGTTTCCTTCTTAAAGACCCTGTATACAAACACAGTCACATTCTGAGGTACTTGGGGTTAGGATTGCAACATAGGAATTTGCTATGCGACACAGTTTTGCCTATAACAAAAGCCAGCAGTGCTCTGACATGACACTAAGAAGTTAATATAAACTTCTTATGAAAAAAGACACAACAAAACATCCTAAAACTGAACAGCCCATATATTATATAGTCTTTGCTTTCATCACTTTCTTTCAAGTTACTGTCATTTCTCATCTGGACTCCTTACTACATTAGCCTCTAAACTAAGCTTCTTGCATTTTCTCATATTCAACCCCAAATGAAGTAACATTTTGCCAGTAATTTGTAGATTCATTGCTATTCCCATCAAGCTACCATTGACTTTATTCATAGAATTAGAAAAAAAACTACTTTAAATTTCATATGGAACCAAAAAAGAGCCCGTAGACCCAAGACAATCCTAAGCAAAAAGAACAACGCTGGAGGCATCACACTACCTGACTTCAAGCTGTACGACAAGGCTACAGTAACCAAAACAGCATGGTACTCATATCAAAACAGATATATAGACCAGTGGAACAGAACAGAGGCCTCAGAAATAACACCACAAATCTACAACCACCTGATCTTTGACAAACCTGACAAAAACAAGCAATGGGGAAAGGATTCCCTATTTAATAAATGGTGTTGGGAAAACTGGCTGGCCTTATGCAGAAAACTAAAACTGGATCCTTTCCTTACACCTTTTACAAAAATTAATTCATGATGGATTAAAGACTTAAACTAATACCTAAAACCATAAAAACTCTAGAAGAAAACCTAGGCAATACCATTCAGGACATATACATGGGCAAAGACTTCATGACTAAAGCACCAACAGCAATGGCAACAAAAGCCAAGATTGTATAGCATAATTCCAAAGATCATTATTTACTTTGTATTCCAGGGGAATGTCAAACTCTACCAAATTACATTAAAAAGTGGCTTTGCATATTGTCAATGCTTCATTTCATGGTAAACATCCAAAATCAGGCCTTTGTTCATTTTATGTGCTTTTATTTTTATGTATTTATTTTTTATTATACTCTAAATTCTGGGATACATGTGCAGAATGTGCAGGTTTGTTACATAGGTATACACATGCCATGGTAGTCTGCTGCAACCATCAACCTGTCATCTATATTAGGTATTTCTCCTAATGCTATCCATCCCTAGACCCCAATCCCCTGACAGGCCCCAGTGTGTGGTGTTCCCCTCCCTGTGTCTATGTGTTCTCATTGTTCAACTCCCATTTATGAGTGAGAACATGCAGTGTTTGGTTTTCTGTTCCTATGTTAGTTTGCTGAAAATGATGGTTTCCAGCTTCATCCATGTCCCTGCAAAGGACATGAACTCATCCTTTTTTATGGCTGCATAGTATTCCATGGTGTATAAGTGCCACATTTTCTTTATCCAGTCTATCACTGATGGACATTTGGATTGGTTCCAAGTCTTTGATATTGTGAATAGTGCTGCAACATATGTGTGCATGTGTCTCTATAGTAGGATGATTTATAATCCTTTGGGTATATACCCAGTAATGGGATTGCTGGATTAAATGGTATTTCTGGTTCTAGATCCTTGAGAAATCACCACACTGTCTTCCACAATGGTTGAACTAATTTACACTTCCATCAACAGTGTAAAAGTGTTCCTATTTCTCCACATCCTCTCTAGCTTCTGTTGTTTCCTGACTTTTTAATAATCACCATTCTAACTGGCCTGAGATGTATCTCATTGTGGTTTTGATTTGCATTACCCTAACGACCAGTGATTACGAGCTTTTTTCATATGTTTGTTGGCTGCATACAAGTCTTCTTTTGTGAAATGTCTGTTCATATCCTTCACCCACTTTTTCATGGGGTTGTTTTTTTTTTTGTAAATTTGTTTAAGTTCCCTGTAGATTCTGGATATTAGCCCTTTGTCAGATGGATAAATTGCAAAACTTTTCTCCCATTCTGTATGTTGCCTTTTCACTCTGATGCTAATTTCTTTTGCTGTGCAGAAGCTCTTTAGTTTGATTAGATCCCATTTGTCAATTTTGGCTTTGGTTGCCATTGCTTTTGGTGTTTTAGTCATGAAGTCTTTGCCCATGCGTATGTCCTGAATGGTATTGCCTAGGCTTTCTTCTAGAGTTTTTATGGTTTTAGGTATTAGTTTAAGTCTTTAATCCATCTTGAATTAATTTTTGTAAAATGTGTAAGGAAGGGATCCAGTTTTAGTTTTCTGCCTAAGGCTAGCCAGTTTTCCCAACACCATTTATTAAATAGGGAATCCTTTCCCCATTGCTTGTTTTTGTCAGGTTTGTCAAAGATCAGGTGGTTGTAGATTTGTGGTGTTATTTCTGAGGCCTCTGTTCTGTTCCATTGGTCTATATATATTTGTTTTGATATGAGTACTATGCTGTTTTGGTTACTGTAGCTTGATGGGGATAGCATTGAATCTACAAATTACTTTGGGCAGTATGGCCATTTTCACAGTATTGATTCTTCTTATTCATGAGCATGGAATGTTTTTCTATTTGTGTCCTCTCTTTATTTTTTTGAGCAGTGGTGTGTAGTTCTCCTTGAAGAGTTCCTTCACATCCCTTGTAAGCCTGGTTCAACATATGCAAATCAATAAATGTAATCCATCACATAAATAGAACCAATGACAAAAACCACATGACTATCTCAATAGATGCAGAAAAGGCCTTCGATAAAATTCACCACCCCTTTACGCTAAAAAATCTCAATAAACTAGGTATTGATGGAACGTATCTCAAAATAATGAGAGCTATTTATGACAAACCCACAGCCAATATCATACTGAGTGGTCAAAAACTGGCAGCATTCCCTTTGAAGTCCTGCACAAGACAAGGATGCCCTCTCTCACCATATTTAACATAGTATTGGAAGTTCTGGCCAGGGAAATCAGCCAAGAGAAAGAAAGAAAGGGCATTCACATAAGAAGAAAGGAAGTCAAATTGTCTCTTTGCAGTTGACATGATTGTGTATTTAATAAACCCTATCATCTCAGCCTGAAATCTCCTTATGCTAATAAGCAACTTCAGCAAAGTCTCAAGATACAAAATCAATGTGCAAAAATCACAAGCATTCCTACACAACGATAATAGACAAATAGAGAGCCCAATCATGAGTGAACTCCCATTCACAATTGCTACAAAGGGAATAAAATACTTAAGAATACAACTTTGTTCATTTTAAACTCTGTCATTATAATACTCTATTGTATCCTTCTGGAGCGCCACTGTACTCTCTTATCCTATTATTGCCAGTGTAGTCTTACTTGCAGTTTAATTCATGTTACCTGCCTTCGGAAACCTCTTCTATTGCACCTCTTTATGTATCAAGTTTGGGCCTCCCCCTTGTAATCTTAGCCTACTTGCCCTCCCATCGTATAGCCTCAACCGTAGGCAGACTGGATCTTGACCACATACTACCCACTTTAACCTGCCTATGCTCTGTTTACTCCATCTAGAATGCCAAAGTCAACTCCTTCTGCAGGGTCAAATTTAAATTATACTTTATGAACAGATCTTTTCCTAGTACAGCAAAACAAAAGTAACAATATTTTCCATTCTACATCATTAAACGTTCACCTTTATTGTACTGGATCTTTATAAAAAGAGAGTCTCTATTATAGCCAGTTAAGTCAGTGGTCCCTTCAAAGTCATGGAGTAACTGAAAATATGATAGAGATCATTGACTAGAAGAATTTTAGGATATTTTATTGGCATAGTCCAGTGTTGTGCTGGAACCAGTTCATCTAGGCAATTGTAAGAGAATTGTTAAATTTTTAAGTGTCTGTTGTTAAACACAGCCATTATTAAAAATTAAATTCTATAAACAATAATTAAGCTATAAAAAATTAAAGTTAAATATCAGACAATTCTAATTAAACATAATTCCTTTTAAAGTATTTTACAGTTTTCTATGCTCTTTAGGCTATTTTCAGCTCTACTGTCTATGTGGTCAACATAATATATATGAGTGTGTTGTTCCCCTCCGTGTGTTCATGTGTTCTCATCATTCAGCTCCCACTTATAAGTGAGAACATGTGGTGTTTGGTTTTCTGTTTCCCAATTCATTTGCTAAGGATAATGACTTCCAGCTCAGTCCATGTCCCTGCAAAGGACATGATCTCATTCATTTTTTATAGCTGCATAATATTCCATGGTGTATATGTACCATTTTTTTTTAATCTGGTCTATCGTTGATGGACATTTGGGTTGATTCCATGTCTTTACTATTGTGGATAGTGCTGCAATGAACATACACATGCTTGTATATTTATAATAGAATGATTTATATTCCTTTGGGTATATACTCAGTAATGGGATTGCTGGGTCAAATGACATTTCTGACTCTAGACCTTTGAGGAATTGCCATACCATCTTCCACAATGGTTGAAATAATTTACATTCCCACCAACAGTGTAAATGTGTTCCCATTTCTCCACAACCTCGCCAGCATCTGTTATTTCTTTACTTTTTAAAAATCACCATCTGACTGGCATGAATTGGTGTCTCATTGTGGTTTTGATTTGCATTTCTCTAATGATCGTGATGTTGAGCTTTTTTTCATATATTTGTTGGCTGCATAAATATTTTCTTTTGAGAAGTGTTTGTTCATGGCCCTTGCCCACTTTTTAATAGGGTTGTTTTCTTCTTGTAAATTTATTTAAGTTTCAGGTAGACTCTGGATATTAGACCATTGTCAGATGGATAGATTGTAAACATTTTTCCCTATTCTGTAGATGGTCTGTTTGCTCTGATGATAATTAGGAAGAGCATCAGGAAAAATAGCTAATGCATGCTGGGCTTAATACCTAGGTGATAAGTTGATAGGTGCAGCAAATACCCATGGCACAGATTTACCTATGTAACAAACCTGCACATCCTGCACATGTGTCCCAGAACTTAAAAAAAAATGAAAAAATAAAATCTTCCCTATAGATACAATATCAATACTACACAGTCGTTGTCACACTAGTCACCATATAGTAAAAAGACAAACATTAAATTTTATAATCAGAGTAATGCAACTAGTGTCACCATAGAAATATGCAGTGGATATATCTATTGACATTTATTCTATTTGAATTTAAAACTGAGAATTTTTAAGTGTTTGTTATTCATTTACTCTGCATGTTAACATAAACAATGTTTTTATGAAAATGCCTATATTTCCCCAAAAAACAATAAAGTTTACTAAGTGAAATAAACTAGTCACAAAAAGAAAAAAATATATATAACAAAACAATGTAGGGAGCAGGTCTAAAAATCTACTCTCTAAGGTTTCTTAGAATACATATAATTTTGTAATTGAGGAGACAAATTTACATAAAAAAGGTAAGCCATTTCCCAAAAACCATGTAAGTGATAAATCAAACAAATACATTTTCAATCACTGCCTCCTCACTCTGTCGAGGGCATTTGTGACTAAGCTGTGCTGTCCTTGATACTATATCTTATCTTAGCCCAGCTTAGTGCTTTTATATCACAATGAATGCAGAGTAGCTTCAATAACAGAAGCTGCTATACACAATGATTCATAGTGGATGCTCAGTAATTTACTTATGAAAAATTGCTGTTCATTTCCTAAAATGTATTTATTCAACAAATATTTAGGTTGCCTAGGCTCTAGAGATAAAGGGTGTAATTAACCCCTTTGTTTAACTATCTCACAGTCTTTTATGGAGTAAGACAAATACGTAATTACAATAAAACATAAACAATATCCTATGACATTGGAGGGGAGTTGAGCAATGAGAGTACAGTGGAAGATATCTGTTTAGAACAGTGGGCCAGGTGTGGTGGCTCATGCCTGTAATCCCAGCACTCACTCTGGGAGGTTGAGGCTTCCCAAAGCCTCCTGGGATTGCTTGAGCCCAGGAGTTCAAGACCAGCCTGGGCAACATGGAGAAATTTAGTCTCTAAAAAAAAATACAAAAATTATCTGGGTGTGGTACTGTGTGCCTGTAGTCCCAGCTAACCAGGAGGCTGAGGTGGGAGGATCACTTGAGCCTGGAAAGTTGAGGCTGCAGTGAGCCGTGATTGTACCACTGCACTGCAGCCTTGGTGACAGGAGTGAAACCTTGTCTCAGAAAAAGCAACAACAACAACAACAATAAAAACTTAACTTAGATAATTCTGTCACTTTCAGCTGACTCTTGAAGGATGGGTAGGAATTAGCTAAATAGAAGGGTATTCCAGGAATAAGAGAGATTGTGTGAAATTTAGGGATGTAAAAAAGCCTAGTGTATTTGATCTACGTATCCTTTGTTATGGCTGGAGCATGTGCTGTGCCTCAGGAAAAGGCAGGCAGTGAGACTGGAGAGAAGAGTCAAGCAGCAGATCATGAAAAGTTTGGATGCCATTAAATATCCTAAGAAGTTTGAATTCTACCCTGAAATGTATAGGATCTAAATTTCTTTGCATGCCTTAAGTGATACTGTCTAATAGAAATGTAATGCTAGCTATATTTGTAATTTTAAGAAAGAGTAAAAATAAATGATATTAAATTTAATAATGCATTTTATTTAACCCAATATATCCAAACTTCTATCATTTTAACATGTAATCCACATATTAAAGGGATATTTTGCATTCTTTCTTTTGTATTAAATCTTTGAAATGTATTTTGTGTTTTACACTGAACATCTCAATGTGGCAAGTGGCTATTAAACTGGACAGCACAAGTCTAAATTATAGAGGAAAGTCACCAAGGCTCTAATGCCTGAACACAGCATAGTTACCCACTCTTAAATGAGGCTCAAAATTTGGCAACAATGACAGCACAGCCATTACACTACATTTTAATTCTTTCTTCTCATTTCTGCATCCAAAGTGAGTTCCTCCTCTTAGTACTGTGTTTAGACACCAAGTCCTTCCAAAGGGAATCTGGCTACAACAGAACCCAGACAGCACAGATCCAAACTGGAGAAGGTGGTGGCAGGCCAGGGAGCTGCTGTCAAAGAAGCGACTTTTTTTCAGCAAAAGCTGTCAAGCATGAAGAGTTTTGGCTACGCTGTAGAGGATTTTCTGCCTTCAGCTGGTGATGGGAGAATTTCTGCATTGTCATTAGATCCAGTTAGAATCAAGGATCATTGGTGACTAGTGAGCTAAAACAGGCAAAATAAATAACTCACCAATCCACCCGACCCATTGACACACAGCTCCATATAGAGTTTTCTCCTTTCTGTGGAAACGGAATTACTTTTAATGAGACATGCACCGAAGGCTTCAGCTGTGAATTTGACAGCTTACAAAGAAAGCAGAAAGAAGTTGAATTCTGGAAGCTTAGAGTGCGAATCTGGGTCATAGCTTCTGTCTCAAGTTTTTATTTTCCTCTAGGAAGAATAGCCAGAGGAAAAAAATGAGGAAGACTCCAATATTTTTAAGAAGATTAAAAAAGTGATTTTTTTATTATGCAAATCTCAAACCATTTAAAAAAATAATAAAAGCTTGGAATATTACAAAAAATTTAACACCAAAATCACTGTTTTTGTCATTTTCTATGGCCCCTCTGAAGTTCCTCCCTCTTCAGCAATGATGTAGTTAAGTAACTAATACAATATAATATGGTAAGTCTATTTTCAAGAGCCCCCTCTTATTTTACAGGACTTTGTCCATAGAAAAGCTATGATTAAGCGTTGTGTATTTTGTAGAAAGGCTCTGAGATTTAAACACCATCTATCAGCAACATGAGGACTGAATCATTTAGTGCTAAATCACATACATCTATAATCTTTTGGAAATTAAGCAAAATACTTATATATTAAATAATATGTTTGCTGAGACAAATTCAATTCAGTAGCATTTGGAATTAGTTTCAAATGAAACATTTAGTAGCAGGCCTTTGGAAGAACCACAGGACTAAATTGAACAATTTTTACCCAGTGTCTTAAGAGTAACAATATATGGAAGGCAAAGAGAATGGGCTTTGAAATTTGACAGAATGAGGGTTGAAATTTCAGCTCTTCTATTTACAAGCTGTCAATTATTTGGCAAATTCTTTCAGCATCAACACCTTCTTAGAAATGTGGGAAATAATAGCAACTTCATTAGGTTGGTTGGTTTTAATAATAACACATTTGGAGTGAATAGTGCAATAATTTGTTCATATTATTATTAACCTTTTACCAAATAATTTTACAGGATCTAGATAAATGTTGAGGATGGTGATGATGATGATTATTTAAAAAATCGTGTATTCAGTGCGTACTCTGTTCCATGCTCTGGGCTAAGTACTTTACCTAAAATAACCCCTTCTTAATATGAGCAAACAAAACTTCTTGAATTTCCAGATTCTCTTCTAATCACCACCATACTCTTAGCTCTTGTTCACTGCCAAGTGTCTCAAAAAAGTTGTATAAATATATTGTCTTCACTTTTTTTACTCCCATTCACACAAGCCTACTCCTATATATCTTCTACTATGTTGCCAGAATTAGTGGATTTTTTTCACTACACATCTTACTTTAGTTTTCAACAGAGTAAATGTTTTTAAAAAAAGAATGTAAAAACAGTTTCTTTTCCTGATTTCCATAAGAATATATTATCTTGGTTTCTCTTCTTCTTCTTCATTGTCTTTGTGAGCTATTCCTTCTCAGTTAATGCACACATATTTGAATTCTTTAGGGTATAACTCAGAGATCTCTTTCCTTCACTTCCTACACTTTTATCTATTATTGTTGCTATCCATATTCTGAGGACTCCCAAATAGTTCCAACTCAGACTTCTATTCTCTTAGCCAGAATGTTCTTATTTAATTTCCTACTTGGCATGTCTACTTGGCTATTTCACAGAAATTTAAAAATTTCTTTCCAAATTTGGTTTTCTTTCAATTTTGTTTGTATCAGCTCATTCAACCCAATTATATGAACTAGAGTTGCTGGAGGAAGTAGATACATGTTGAAAATCAACTTTTGATTCCAGGGCTCAGGAATCTACCAAACCAAATATGACACTCAAACTTGTTGTCCTCAACATGTATGGCAGTTAAAACTGTCACATATTCTTCTTTAAATAATCTGATTTCCTGTTTTCTGCCATATCTAAATTTATTTGATCAACATGTACCTTTGCTCTTAAGATCAAACTTCTTTCTCTAACTCCATACTTGATAGCCAGAAGAAAAGTTCACCAACTCAGCATACCACTCAGCAAAACACTTGGCATATACTTTTATGGCAATATTCAGTAGCCCTGGTTGGTATTCCTTTAAATAATGTTTTATACATATAGTTTAAAACCCATGAGTGGGGCTATGCATAGTTATAAACTTATAACTTCTCTATATTTATTACATAATTATACTAGCAATTTGTGTTCTGCTTAATTTACTGTTGAAGAGCTCATCAAATGTTACTACATAATCCATTCCTAGAGTAATAACTAAAGCAAATTTTCTAAATGAGATCCTTCTGGTACTTCCAATAATAAACACCTTGGATGAGATTCAATAATGCCGTGCCTAATGCTTAATGCTGTGGTATATGGGTCATGTTATAGAAAGACTCCAGGGCAGGATGAGAAATAATTGGGCCATTGTTCAAAACTTGGAAAACTGTTTGTTAGCAAAGTTTTCATATCCATGACATTTATAGTTCAGGTACCTTGATGAAGGTGCATGATAATGATAACTTTTTCTTCCAGTCCTTTGGCTTTAAAACTTTCACGTTAATCATATGTCCAGGTTCCTAAACACCTAAATCTCAATTATATAGGAATTTTTAGGAATATTTCTTGGATCATTTAACTTCCTTCTTTCTTTCCATAAAAATATGTATACACATTTCTTGCATCATTTAACTTCCTTCTTTATTTGCATAAAATATGTATATACAATGTTTTGTTGTGAAGATAGAAATATCTGCATTAAAGAACACTGTCTAGTAACAGGAAATAAATATAAACAAATGAGTGTAATACAGAGTTTAGAATGTCACATCCATTGCACATATGGCTGTAGTGGGAAAAATGGCATCAAACAAAAGAACATCTTTATGAAACTGTTAATAAAATAAGAAGAGGTGCTTCACTGTCAAGCTTTTCCCACTCCTGGCCATTTTGGTTAATCACTAGTTTAAGCCACAACCCTGTCAATATGGGCAGTTTGGGCCAAGATCTCTTGATGAACACTTCTAATTCACATTAAAGGACACGAAGTGGAGACTGGACACTGCTTATATGTATATTTAGGGGATGATATCATGCCAGACTAATGTCACAACTCACATGAGAAATGACTGAGTTTTACTTCACTAGTAGTTGTCAGTAAAATGAACTGTGTTTACAGTAGCAACAGGATATTAATAGTTAAAGCCACTTGAAATATACTTTAAAATAATTGTTTATATTGGGAATCTTAATTTCCTTGCGAGAAAAAGATAATTTGGACCAACTAAGATGGAAAATAAAGTTCTATTGTAGAAGGTTAAACTTATTCATTTTCTTTGCAAAGATTTAGTATTTCCTGAAGTGAATACTTTCTGAAAAAGTATTTTCCACGTTCTTTTAGCATCTGCTTGGTGTTCTGCTTAGAAAAATGTATTTACTCTTCCAAAATTTTTTTGCCTATTTTTCTGTACTACTTTTCTGTACAAGAAATACGTAAGTACCTACCATGTGATGATATGTAGTTAAATAAAGCATTAACTACCCTCTATGGGCTCACAGTTTTGAAAAGAAGGATGTGTAAATACATCCAAAATATAATGAATATATGCAACAGGCAACATATATAATATAGAATATCTATTTTAATTTAAGCCTAATTTATTATAATACTCAGTACCTTAACTCATTTCCTGACTCTGAGGCATTTTAGAAATCCCATGATAAAACACATTATTTAAAGTGAGTTATGTTTCCTAAGGAAAAAATTCAACATCATGGTTTATATTTTTAACCAAGTTTTCAGCATCAAATAAATCATGAGTATAATCAGCCTTGTTATAAAGGTGAAGGATCCACAATTATAAACTTTTTTAGCAATTACAAATTACAGCGATTATACAAATACTGTAATTAAACAATGGCACTATGGAGAAGATGTAGTCTCCATCCTAAAGGAATCTAGGGAATTGAATTTGTACAACATGGAAAAAGGTATTCCACGTAAAAGAACAGCATTAGTAAAAATAAATAAATGAGAGTATGTGGGGTGTCTATGATACATATGAAAGAGTATAGTAAAAAGTACAAAACAATAAATAGTGGTTGGTAGGGTT
Organism: Homo sapiens; assembly: GCF_000001405.40. Lineage (NCBI taxonomy): Eukaryota > Metazoa > Chordata > Mammalia > Primates > Hominidae > Homo > Homo sapiens. The sequence goes on from NC_000011.10 coordinate 49,772,643, forward strand.
TGGGAAAATGAAAAATAAGAGATGATAGAGAAAATAGTATACAAGCTTCTATGCAGTGAATCGGGGTCTGATTTATGGAAAGAGAAGTAAAGATACTATGAAAAAAAAGAAAAGTATCAAAGAAAACAAAATTACTTGTATCTTTACTATAATTATAATAGTTTGATTTTGATTCTAATGATAGTTTTCCCTAACACATGAGATGGATAAATTTAAACAATATATTTAATGGCTATTTTGCTAGAAAAATGAATATCTCACTAGGTATACCTTGTCTATGCTGTTGTACTTTATTATCTTTATCTTAAAGTGGCCACTGTTACACAGTTGTTAATGATATTGAATTTGTACCATCTGAAATAGCATTTACCTGTGATTACAAATTACTTACTAAAGTATGATTTGGTGCCTTTTAACGTACAGTTCAAATAAAAATTTTTTCCTAGGTTAGCAGAAAGTTTTTTATTATTTAATTTAATTTAATTTTATATCCAGGGTGTTCATGTGCAGGTTTGTTACATAGGTATATTGCCCTTTGTTGGATTTGAGGCTTGTAGTGTACCCATCACCCAGATGTGAACATTGTACGCAATAAATAATTTTTCAACCCTTACTCCCTTCCTACCCTCTTCCCTTTTGGGGTCCCCAGTCTCTGTTACAGAAGAAAGTTTTAAAGTTACTCTTTAACAAATCCTGTTTCCAATGTGTGCTTTATAGGGTCAATGTAGGCAGATACTTCCAGATCCCAGCTGATGCAATTCAGGTCAAATAGTATTAGTGAAAGCACTAGCTTTAAACACTATTTGAGGTTGAATTATTAAAATCTGTTATGATCTGAGGAAAAAACTGGGGTACTCAGGGTAAATATTTTGATTATTGTGCAACTCTGTTCATGTTTTAAGTGAAATATTTTATAATAGCTTATTAGAGTGGTGCCCCCTAGACACGATGTGGCAATCCTGATTGCTGGTCACATAGTTGGGCAATTATTTTAATCTGGAAATAGACATTCATTATTTTGTACTGCTCATTCAATAATTTATTTATTTATTCAACATGTGTTAGTTATCTAACAGGTCTCATTAGCGGTACAAAAGTGAATAATATACTGTTGTTGCAAATGGCAGAAATTTTTCTTTTTAAACCCATTTTTTAGGGTTTTTAGGCTGACTAGTATTTCATTGGGTATATATATACACCACATTTTTTAATTCATTTATCTGTTGATGGATATAACTTGGCTTTTGTAAATAATGCTGCCATGAACGTGGGAGTGCAATTAAAATTAGCTGGAAAGGTAGCCGGAGGTAGGGGTGCTATATCATATAATAATTCTATTTTTAGTTTTGTTGAGGAACTTCCACGAAGTTTTCTATTAATGGGTGTACTAATTTACATTTCCACCAAGAGTAGCATATAAAGAACTTCTGTGAGTTTTATCCCTAAAACAGGATAAAATGATAAAGCAGAGAGAAGACAATTACTTTTAAAATTATCTGCATCAACTCTCTCCTTTCAATGACTTTTAACTATGCTAGTTTATTTTTTTCATTAAATGTATATTTTCATATTTTTAAAAGTCAAATAGTACAGCAGGGCTTAAAGTGAAAAACAAGTGTTTTAGTTTTTCATCCTTTTATTTTCACCTCCATATCTCTAATATGAATATGTCTTTTTAAAAAGTAACTACTTTTAAATGACTATAGACATTATCTCTTACCTTGTACATCTTCTTATTCCTTCTTTTAATATAATTCTCTCACTACATTAGCTGCCTCCTGATTATTTTAGCATCCAATAATTCCCTTAATCACATACATTTTATTTTCTGTATATCTTGACTTCCAAATTGGGAGTGGGTGATTTAATGGCCTTCCTCTTCCCAACAACTTTCCCTGCATCTACCTCTCAGCCTCCATCATCTTTCTCTTTAATTGTCATTGTAAAAGTTGATAACAAATGTATTTTATTGCATAATGAGTTTTTCCATTTGTCTATAGGTGGATTCTTAAGGTTGAAAATCAATGAGTGACATTTGCATCATTATACCTGTAAGTAGTGTGAGCTATGAGTGAAGACATTGGGCTATGATTACATTTTCTCCACATAATTCCAAGTTGTAAACCCTCTGCTACCTAAAGAAGAACGTTCTATGGATTCTGTCTTACTTCTATTTATTGTTTAAAATGAAGTCACATGTTAGTTTCATATTTTATACCACAGCTTTCTTTCTCAGTTACTAGTTTCCCTCTATTGGAAAAAGTAATAGTTGCTTCCTTAGCTTTTTCCCCATTCTACATATTACTTGAAATGTGTTCTATTCTTATTTGAGAAGCCTGTAGACTTTTTTTTTGCTGCACTTTTTTCATTATTTTAAAATGTATAATTATAGAATACAGTGTTTCTATCAACTACCAGAAAGTTTCAACACTTCAGTCTTTTCCATTTTTTTATTATTATTACTATTATTATTATTATTTATTTTTTTTAATTATACTTTAAGTTTTAGGGTACATGTGCACATTGTGCAGGTTAGTTACATATGTAAACATGTGCCATGCTGGTGCGCTGCACCCACTAACTCGTCATCTAGCATTAGGTATATCTCCCAATGCTATCCCTCCCCCCTCCCCCCTCCCCACCACAGTCCCCAGAGTGTGATATTCCCCTTCCTGTGTCCATGTGATCTCATTGTTCAATTCCAACCTATGAGTGAGAATATGCGGTGTTTGGTTTTTTGTTCTTGCGATAGTTTACTGAGAATGATGATTTCCAATTTCATCCATGTCCCTACAAAGGACATGAACTCATCATTTTTTATGGCTGCATAGTATTCCATGGTGTATATGTGCCACATTTTCTTAATCCAGTCTATCATTGTTGGACATTTGGGTTGGTTCCAAGTCTTTGCTATTGTGAATAATGCCACAATAAACATACGTGTGCATGTGTCTTTATAGCAGCATGATTTATAGTCATTTGGGTATATACCCAGTAATGGGATGGCTGGGTCAAATGGTATTTCTAGTTCTAGATCCCTGAGAAATCACCACACTGACTTCCACAATGGTTGAACTAGTTTACAGTCCCACCAACAGTGTCAAAGTGTTCCTATGTCTCCACATCCTCTCCAGCACCTGTTGTTTCCTGACTTTTTAATGATTGCCATTCTAACTGGTGTGAGATGATATCTCATAGTGGTTTTGATTTGCATTTCTCTGATGGCCAGTGATGATGAGCATTTTTTCATGTGTTTTTTGGCTGCATAAATGTCTTCTTTTGAGAAGTGTCTGTTCATGTCCCTCGCCCACTTTTTGATGGGGTTGTTTGTTTTTTTCTTGTAAATTTGTTTGAGTTCATTGTAGATTCTGGATATTAGCCCTTTGTCAGATGAGTAGGTTGCGAAAATTTTCTCCCATGTTGTAGGTTGCCTGTTCACTCTGATGGTAGTTTCTTTTGCTGTGCAGAAGCTCTTTAGTTTAATTAGATCCCATTTGTCAATTTTGGCTTTGGTTGCCATTGCTTTTGGTGTTTTAGACATGAAGTCCTTGCCCATGCCTATGTCCTGAATGGTAATGCCTAGGTTTTCTTCTAGGGTTTTTATGGTTTTAGGTCTAATGTTTAAATCTTTAATCCATCTTGAATTGATTTTTGTATAAGGTGTAAGGAAGGGATCCAGTTTCAGCTTTCTACATATGGCTAGCCACTTTTCCCAGCACCATTTATTAAATAGGGAATCCTTTCCCCATTGCTTGTTTTTCTCAGGTTTGTCAAAGATCAGATAGTTGTAGGTATGTGGCATTATTTCTGAGGGCTCTGTTCTGTTCCATTGATCTATATCTCTGTTTTGGTACCAGTACCATGCTGTTTTGTTTACTGTAGCCTTGTAGTATAGTTTGAAGTCAGGTAGTGTGATGTCTCCAGCTTTGTTCTTTTGGCTTAGGATTGACTTGGCGATGCGGGCTCTTTTTTGGTTCCATATGAACTGTAAAGTAGTTTTTTCCAATTCTGTGAAGAAAGGCAGTGGTAGCTTGATGGGGATGGCATTGAATCTGTAAATTACCTTGGGCAGTATGGCCATTTTCACGATATTGATTCTTCCTACCCATGAGCTTGGAATGTTCTTCCATTTGTTTGTATCCTCTTTTATTTCCTTGAGCAGTGGTTTGTAGTTCTCCTTGAAGAGGTCCTTCACATCCCTGGTAAGTTGGATTCCTAGGTATTTTATTCTCTTTGAAGAAATTGTGAATGGGAGTTCACTCATGATTTGGCTCTCTGTTTGTCTGTTGTTGGTGTATAAGAATGCTTGTGATTTTTGTACATTGATTTTGTATCCTGAGACTTTGCTGAAGTTGCTTATCAGCTTAAGGAGATTTTGGGCTGAGATGATGGGGTTTTCTAGATAAACAATCATGTCGTCTGCAAACGGGGACAATTTGACTTCCTCTTTTCCTAATTGAATACCCTTTATTTCCTTCTCCCGCCTAATTGCCCTGGCCAGAACTTCCAACACTATGTTGAATAGGAGCAGTGAGAGAGGGCATCCCTGTCTTGTGCCAGTTTTCAAAGGGAATGCTTCCAGTTTTTGCCCATTCAGTATGATATTGGCTGTGGGTTTGTCATAGATAGCTCTTGTTATTTTGAAAGACGTCCCATCAATACCTAATCTATTGAGAGTTTTTAGCATGAAGGGTTGTTGAATTTTGTCAAAGGCTTTTCTGCATCTATTGAGATTATCATGTGGTTTTTGTCTTTGGCTCTGTTTATATGCTGGATTACATTTATTGATTTGCATACATTGAACCAGCCTTGCATCCCAGGGATGAAGCCCACTTGATCATGGTGGATAAGCTTTTTGATGTGCTGCTGGATTCGTTTTGCCAGTATTTTATTGAGGATTTTTGCATCAATGTTCATCAAGGATATTGGTCTAAAATTCTCTTTTCTGGTTGTGTCTCTGCCCGGCTTTGGTATCAGAATGATGCTGGCCTCATAAAATGAGTTAGGGAGGATTCCCTCTTTTTCTATTGATTGGAATAGTTTCAGAAGGAATGGTACCATTTCCTCCTTGTACCTCTGGTATAATTCGGCTGTGAATCCATCTGGTCCTGGACTCTTTTTGGTTGGTAAACTATTGATTATTACCCCAATTTCAGCTCCTGTTATTGGTCTATTCAGAGATTCAACTTCTTCCTGGTTTAGTCCTGGGAGAGTGTATGTGTCGAGGAATGTATCCATTTCTTCTAGATTTTCTAGTTTATTTGCGTAGAGGTGTTTGTAGTATTCTCTGATGGTAGTTTGTATTTCTGTGGGATCGGTGGTGATATCCCCTTTATCATTTTTTATTGTGTCTATTTGATTCTTCTCTCTTTTCTTCTTTATTAGTCTTGCTAGTGGTCTATTCATTTTGTTGATCCTTTCAAAAAACCAGCTCCTGGATTCATTGATTTTTTGAAGGGTTTTTTGTGTCTCTATTTCCTTCAGTTCTGCTCTGATTTTAGTTATTTCTTGCCTTCTGCTAGCTTTTGAATGTGTTTGCTCTTGCTTTTCTAGTTCTTTTAATTGTGATGTTAGGGTGTCAATTTTGGATCTTTCCTGCTTTCTCTTGTGGACATTTAGTGCTATAAATTTCCCTCTACACACTGCTTTGAATGCGTCCCAGAGATTCTGGTATGTGGTGTCTTTGTTCTCGTTGGTTTCAAAGAACATCTTTATTTCTGCCTTCATTTCGTTATGTAGCCAGTAGTCATTCAGGAGCAGGTTGTTCAGTTTCCATGTAGTTGAGTGGTTTTGAGTGAGATTCTTAATCCTGAGTTCTAGTTTGATTGCACTGTGGTCTGAGAGATAGTTTGTTATAATTTCTGTTCTTTTACATTTGCTGAGGAGAGCTTTACTTCCAACTATGTGGTCAATTTTGGAATAGGTGTGGTGTGGTGCTGAAAAAAATGTATATTCTGTTGATTTGGGGTGGAGAGTTCTGTAGATGTCTATTAGGTCCACTTGGTGCAGAGCTGAGTTCAATTCCTGGGTATCCTTGTTGACTTTCTGTCTCGTTGATCTGTCTAATGTTGACAGTAGGGTGTTAAAGTCTCCCATTATTAATGTGTGGGAGTCTAAGTCTCTTTGTAGGTCACTCAGGACTTGCTTTATGAATCTGGGTGCTCCTGTATTGGGTGCATGTATATTTAGGATAGTTAGCTCCTCTTGTTGAATTGATCCCTTTACCATTATGTAATGGCCTTCTTTGTCTCTTTTGATCTTTGTTGGTTTAAAGTCTGTTTTATCAGAGACTAGGATTGCAACCCCTGCCTTTTTTTGTTTTCCATTGGCTTGGTAGATCTTCCTCCATCCTTTTATTTTGAGCCTATGTGTGTCTCTGCACGTGAGATGGGTTTCCTGAATACAGCACACTGATGGGTCTTGACTCTTTATCCAACTTGCCAGTGTGTGTCTTTTAATTGGAGCATTTAGTCCATTTACATTTAAAGTTAATATTGTTATGTGTGAATTTGATCCTGTCATTATGATGTTAGCTGGTGATTTTGCTCATTAGTTGATGCAGTTTCTTCCTAGTCTCGATGGTCTTTACATTTTGGCATGATTTTGCAGCGGCTGGTACCGGTTGTTCCTTTCCATGTTTAGCGCTTCCTTCAGGAGCTCTTTTAGGGCAGGCCTGGTGGTGACAAAATCTCTCAGCATTTGCTTGTCTGTAAAGTATTTTATTTCTCCTTCACTTATGAAGCTTAGTTTGGCTGGATATGAAATTCTGGGTTGAAAATTGTTTTCTTTAAGAATGTTGAATATTGGCCCCCACTCTCTTCTGGCTTGTAGGGTTTCTGCTGAGAGATCCGCTGTTAGTCTGATGGGATTCCCTTTGAGGGTTACCCGACCTTTCTCTCTGGCTGCCCTTAACATTTTTTCCTTCATTTCAACTTTGGTGAATCTGACAATTATGTGTCTTGGAGTTGCTCTTCTCGAGGAGTATCTTTGTGGCGTTCTCTGTTTTTCCTGAATCTGAACGTCGGCCTGCCTTGCTAGATTGGGGAAGTTCTCCTGGATAATATCCTGCAGAGTGTTTTCCAACTTGGTTCCATTCTCCGCATCACTTTCAGGTACACCAATCAGACGTAGATTTGGTCTTTTCACATAGTCCCATATTTCTTGGAGGCTTTGCTCATTTCTTTTTATTCTTTTTTCTCTAAACTTGCCTTCTCGCTTCATTTCATTCATTTCATCTTCCATTGCTGATACCCTTTCTTCCAGTTGATTGCATCGGCTCCTGAGGCTTCTGCATTCTTCGCGTAGTTCTCGAGCCTTGGTTTTCAGCTCCATCAGCTCCTTTAAGCACTTCTCTGTATTGGTTATTCTAGTTATACATTCTTCTAAATTTTTTTCAAAGTTTTCAACTTCTTTGCCTTTGGTTTGAATGTCCTCCCGTAGCTCAGAGTAATTTGATCGTCTGAAGCCTTCCTCTCTCAGCTCATCAAAATCATTCTCCATCCAGCTTTGTTCTGTTGCTGGTGAGGAACTGCGTTCCTTTGGAGGAGGAGAGATGCTCTGCGTTTTAGAGTTTCCAGTTTTTCTGTTCTGTTTTTTCCCCATCTTTGTGGTTTTATCTACTTTTGGTCTTTGATGATGGTGATGTACAGATGGGTTTTTGGTGTGGATGTCCTTTCTGTTTGTTAGTTTTCCTTCTAACAGACAGGACCCTCAGCTGCAGGTCTGTTGGAATACCCTGCCATGTGAGGTGTCAGTGTGCCCCTGCTGGGGGGTGCCTCCCAGTTAGGCTGCTCGGGGGTCAGGGGTCAGGGACCCACTTGAGGAGGCAGTCTGCCCGTTCTCAGATTTCCAGCTGCATGCTGGGAGAACCACTGCTCTCTTCAAAGCTGTCAGACAGGGACATTTAAGTCTGCAGAGGTTACTGCTGTCTTTTTGTTTGTCTGTGCCCTGCCCCCAGAGGTGGAGCCTACAGAGGCAGGCAGGCCTCCTTGAGCTGTGGTGGGCTCCACCCAGTTCGAGCTTCCCGGCTGCTTTGTTTACCTAAGCAAGCCTGGGCAATGGCGGGTGCCCCTCCCCCAGCCTCGCTGCTGCCTTGCAGTTTGATCTCAGACTGCTGTGCTAGCAATCAGCGAGATTCCGTGGGCGTAGGACCCTCTGAGCCAGGTGTGGGATATAGTCTCGTGGTGCACCGTTTTTTAAGCTGGTCTGAAAAGCGCAATATTCAGGTGGGAGTGACCCGATTTTCCAGGTGCGTCTGTCACCCCTTCCTTTGACTCGGAAAGGGAACTCCCTGACCCCTTGTGCTTCCCAGGTGAGGCAATGCCTCGCCCTGCTTCGGCTCGCGCAGGGTGCGCGCACCCACTGGCCTGCGCCCACTGGCACTCCCTAGTGAGATGAACCCGAACCCGGTACCTCAGATGGAAATGCAGAAATCACCCGTCTTCTGCGTCGCTCACGCTGGGAGCTGTAGACTGGAGCTGTTCCTATTCGGCCATCTTCAGTCTTTTCCATTTTATTGGAAGACATATTCTCTTTGTCTCCCAGCTTACAAAGGATTTCTTTTGTTAAATAAAAATTATATTCTGTAAAATTTTTATGTCACACATGTATTAAAGCTGTTTCTTATTTAAATGTTTAAAGTAAACTTTCTTTCTTAGAGCAGTTTTTGATTCACTGCAAAATTGAGTGAAAATTTTTCATATACCCCCTGCCTTTTTTAATTTTAAAGAGTACAGCTTGAGATTTTCTCTGGGAAAATAATACTTTATTCTGCTAGTGTAAGCTTATTTTTTTAGTCTAGTGTACAGTAATAGTGCCATTTGCTCCACTGTTTGTTTTGGATGCTCCAGTAAAGAGTAGCTAAACTCTGTCTAGAATATTCTTTATAATTTCAGTAGGTTCAATTAATTGGGTTCAGGTGACCTACCAGATAGTTTGCATACATTAAATATAATATTAAAATATCTGAATATTAAGCTGTGTTACTTCAGAAAGCTGAGATTACAAAGACTATATAAACTGAAGTTGAACTCAGGTTTCTCTAATAACAAAGTTCTCTCCACTATTTCAAGCTGCTTCTCTACAACATATTGTATAAACAAAAACAGTGTTAAAGCTGTTAGGAACAAAGTGCTAAATAATCTGAATTTGTTAGATGTCTTTTCTGTTTAACAGTGAATGTATTGAGAATAAAAGTAAATAAATGATGTGAAATTCTCAATAAATTCACATCACAATCACTATACCTAATTTCAAATTATTTATGCAAATGCCTCTGCATTAAATCAAAACATGAAATGCAAGACAGTCTGTTGAAAAACAGAGTTAGCTAAAAATAAATCAAAGAATAATAGATTACTCACATTAGTGTAAAACTGGTAGTAATTTAGGCCCATTGGCACATTTTTCAGAAAGTGCCCTTTAAACTTTGTTAATTGCAAAATAACTAGATTGCCCACCTGCCATCATGACAGAGGCTTCTTGTTGCTTTTAATTCTGGAGAAGGAGGGAAAAGATGCAGCTGGCCCACCAGTATTTTTGGCTGAGACTCAAGCTGACCTGCTCTGCTCTGCCCTTTGCAGTTTGTTCACGGAGATAAAGCTTCACCAAAATCCACCCTCAAAGTTAACAGATTTCATAGGCAGCAAGGTACCTGTGGTATGGTAACACCCACATCAGGACAGGAATCAGAGATATATGTTCAAACTAAGATCCTGACACCTACTATCTGTATTTGAACTTCAGTTTTATCAGCCAAGGGGAGATAACATTAACCTTTATCACAGAGTTGTTGTAAGGAGCAGTGAGCTAACATATATAAACTGACTTTCCCAAAATCAAATTGTTGTGGAGTTGTATTTATTGCAGTTATAGACATATAGTGAACCCTATGCAACTGAATGCCCACAGTGCTCCTATTAATTTGATATCTACTCTTCCTGATGAGATTCCAGTTCCTAGGTCAAGTTGATTTTTAGGTCAGTCTCATCCTTATATGTTCTACAGCTTGGTTATCTTGTAATAGCCTCTTGTATTCTTCAAAGCAATCCCCCTCATATATCTAATATTTTGAAAATTCAGAATATAAGCCCTGTATAAAATATAGAGCCTTAAAATGTTCCAAAAATATCTAAAATTGGAGAATTGTCATGCTGAAATGGGAAAGAGAAATGCGGATGTAATTAGAATTCTGAGACTCCTAAGAGTCAGCCTTGGACAAGTAGAGGGAGCAGGACCTATGCTATTAGATCTGTGAATGGAGTTCAGCCCTCCACTTACTGCTAGTGTAACTCAAGGTAAATATGGACCTAACTGCTCTATCTGTTTTCTGATCTATGTATGGAATGGAGCTCATAATATCTACATCGATATTTTATTGTGAGTGCTAAATTAGATCACATATATAAAGGTCCTTGTGTCCTGGCATATAGCTGACTGTCAATATTAATCCCCCTTTTTCATTAATTTTAAAAGACTAACATTAGTCCTTAGTCCCCAAATTTTGCAAAAGACTTTGAACTTTTTATCCTTATCAATAACTTCCCCATGGTTGTATAGGATAAAACTGTAAATGTTTTTCATAAGTTTACACATTCATCTGTGGCAAGACTAAATCTTAAGCAAGGATCTCAGTTTTTCATTTAAGACCAAACCATAAATTCTCATGATTATAAGTATATAATATACTGAATATTATATATAGTATAATACTTTATAAAATATTTATATGGCAACATATATACTATATAAACTACATGTATTACTTGTATGTACTATAGCTTTAAATACAAAAATCTCAGTGGGATGAAATTGTCATCAATGAGAAATAAAGGGAAGTGAGATAGAATGCAAAAAAAAAAGCAGATAAATATTTCCATCAACTCATATTTAGAATAAGAGCTATTTTGAGTCATAAAAGGATGATGAATTGCTTACACTGTTTATATTATTCTCTCCATCACAGTGAAAATATAAATGATCAATGCATATATAATGTGGTTCAATTGTAATTTGCCCAAAATAAGCAATTCAGCAAAAGATCAAAAACCAAAATTCAGGTCTTCAGGTTGCAAGTCCCATACCAATGACTTTCATGCTCCTAACACCTGCATTCTGATTATACCCAATTAATGCAACACTCTCATTTCACTATCCCTCTGCTTATCTATGTTTTCACACAGGCAACTATGGAGAAAGTGGGATGGAAGCCTTCAAAGATATGTCAGCGAAGGAAGGGATTTGCATCGCCCACTCTTACAAAATCTACAGTAATGCAGGGGAGCAGAGCTTTGATAAGCTGCTGAAGAAGCTCACAAGTCACTTGCCCAAGGCCCGGGTGGTGGCCTACTTCTGTGAGGGCATGACGGTGAGAGGTCTGCTGATGGCCATGAGGCGCCTGGGTCTAGTGGGAGAATTTCTGCTTCTGGGCAGGTGAGTGATGATAAGAAAATTTACATGGAGTTAATACCAGGAATTTGGCAGCACCGAAGGGTAGCTTTTAGTGTACAATAAAAAATTCTTTCAAAGCTTAGTCTGTGCAGTGGAAATAGAGCTTAAATTTCATAATGCACCTGTGCCTGGAGAAAATCATGGGAAATAAGTAGATCCGCCATGTGCTGATTAATAGTAAAAGGAATCAACAAATGAAGATGATGCATCTTTAAGTCCTAAAAACCATGACTGTAAGGTAATGAAATGGATTTTTATATCCTTGAGTAATTCACTTGGAAAGTAAACATGACTCAAACTCACAGTTGCTTTTAAAACTGATTTTGAGAATGACTACATGAGCTTGGTTTATAATGTAGAATCATAGAATTTTGGGTTTGAAAGTGAGGGATTACTTTCAGGGCACATTTTTAAAGCATTAGAAAATTGGCTTGTTATTTTATATCACAAAAATGTAGGTGTCTGGTGACCTACATTGTTTCTAGACAAGATACTAAAATACTAGCATCTACAGAGATTGACTTTAATTATCTGGATAATTCACTTGATTGACACAACTCAGCACACTCCCTGTTGTTGTGGCTGAATCAGTGTATTAGTCAAATTCTCCAGAGAAATAAAACCAAAAGTTTATACATATATAATAAAAAATATTCATATATGTGTCCTGCACATATATATACGTATGTATAAATTTGTGTGTGTGTGTGTATACATATGTATATATATACACATATGAGATTTACTACAAGGAATTGGTTCATGTGATTAAAGACCCAAGAGAGCCAATGTGTAGTTTCAATCCAAGTCCAAAGGTTTTAGAACCATGAGAGTTGATAATATTAAGTTGCAGTCTGAAAGTTGGTAGGCTTGCAATTCAAGATGAGCCAATGTTTCAGTCCAAGTCTGAAGGCTGAAAAAGACCAATGTCCATCTCATGCTATCAGGCAAAAAACATTACCTCTTAGCCTTTTAATACTATTCAGGTCTTCAGTTGATTGTTTGAAGTCCATCCATATTAGAGAGGGCTATCTGCTTTACTCAGTTTACTGCTTCAAACGTTAATCTCATCCAGAACAATCTCACAGAAACAGGCAGAATAATGTCTGTTAAAATGTCTGGGCACTACTCATAGCCCAGGCACTAGACACATAAAATTGACTATCATAATTAGTAAGACAACACTGTAGTTTTGAATGTGTGAATGAGGTGCACTTTTGAGATGGTAACCCTGGAAGTCATAAGTGGTAGGGAAGCTGCTTCTTCATTGCATACCTTTAAAACATTATGTACCGTATATCTTTTTATTAACATGTAGCCAATATAAAGAACAGCAAAAACCTTAGAAACCACTGCATCTTTCTCAGGATTTCTGCCCCAAATAGAGAGCCAAGTCACTTGTTATTAACTTTTGATGGCTTATTAAGGGAAACATACTTCCTTCATTTTCCAAATGCTTAACTGACCATCTGTGATCAGACTTAGCTGCAGCTGAGATATATTTTATGACAGCCATTTTATGTACCCAATTCTTTTCTGTCTGATCTGATGGCAATAGATTGATGGGGCTATTTTGGTATGAGGTCATACATCCTTCAATAAAAATGATATTGAGTGAGATTCCTTTTTTATCAATGTCATACATTTTGTCAAAATCATTGCTACTTGGCAGGAATAATGCACCAGTTAGTTTCAGACAACCCACGAACATGCCAACTGCCAATATTCTTATATTGTATTCTGAAGTGCAGTGTTACCACTGCAGTAAAAAGAACAGAAAAGAAAAAAAATCTGGCTTTAAGTAGTTCTGTTTTTCTGATAGGGAATAAAGAATTCCATGATTCCTATCTGCTCCATTTGCAAGCATTAATAAGAAAAATCAGCAGCATTTGTTTTCAGTCATATGGTGTATTTGCCAAAAAGCAAATTGTTCTTTGATCCCATGTACACTAAGTAAATAGATTGGCTTTTACAATATTTGCCATTTTCCATGTATGATTTTATTTCCAGAAGCATTGCAAAATTTTATATTTTGGGTATTTTAAGATTTATTTTGTATATGATAAACATAGAGTTCTTTCCATATCGTTTAATTCATGGAATACTAAATTTATAGCCTCTAGTTAGATTTCTTTTATCCCCCCATTAACTGGCTATTTAGTAATTCGACATTTACTTGAACATCATTTCATTTTTGAGCAGTTTTGTTAGGTCTTCCTTACTCCAAATTTTAAAACTGTCTCCCTGTAGTTTCTGCCTCTTGGCCCATTTTTTTTTCTTTAAAAGTAACATGTGATGCTCTTTCAAATATTTGGGAACAACAGTGTGGTCCTCAGTACTCTCCAACTTCTCTTTGAAATATCCCAACTTCTTCCAACTATCTTAGTGAGATGGCACTGTGGGTGTTAATAAAACCACTTATCAGAACCATTTATAGGACCATTTATCAAATACTTTGTGCCAATTACTGTGCTAAGCACTTTACACGTGTTGTTTCATTTAATCATTATTTGACAAATGTTAGGTGTTTACTATATGTAAAAGTGCTTGAAATAAATAAATGAGCAAAAAAACAATAATTATTGACCTTATGATACTTACAGATTAGTTAGATAGAAGGTCATATAAGTGTTATGAAAAAACCCATATCTAAGAACCTAAATATTAAGTACTATTCTATTTTATACACAGGAGTTCTAAGTAAGACTCAATAAATATTGATGTGTGAAATGGAACAGAAAAGCAAAAGTTAATAGTTTGTAAGAAAAAGTTTACATCTACTAACTCTAATTTTACAAATGAGGAAACTGACACCTCCAAAATGTGGATGACACAATTACCCAACTACCATAACTTAGAATCCAGTGTACTTTTCTACTAACTTGTCTTCTGTAGAGTAGAAACAGAGGGAAAGTTATTATTTGATAGCAAACCCTAGGTTCTACATAGAACCTGAGTTTATTTTTAAAAAATTTTAGATAATTCAAATTTTTAATTTAAATTAGTATTTCATATCAATGTTACCTCCTGAAAATTTTTATTTAGTTCATGCTATAACTTCTTTCAGTATTCCAGTGTTATTTTGTTTACAAATATTCTGCAAATCTCTCTTTTTGCTCCTTCTCTTCCCCAATTCAACTTGAATGAATGGCTTTAGGAACTAGAAGTCAAAGCTATGTGGAAAAAAAAAAAAGGCTATATTTAGAGCCTACTAGAAGGTCCACATTTAATAGCTGTAGTTACTTATAAATATCTCCAACTGCCTTAGGTCAACCATGTTTAATAGGTCGTTCAACTTAAGTGCTTGGCAGGACTAAGACAACTCTGCCGCTGAGACAACCTCATCCATCAGCACGTCTCACCATCTGCACTGCACATCAATAGAATGTTAGAATGATACACACCTGGCCATTAGGTCTTTCCATTTGAGCTGTAGGTAATCTGCTGTCTCATTGCCAATAAAAATATCCTGTTCAGGTCCCTGAAATAGTCTTGCTAAACACTTTGGCTCTGACAGCAGGCTGAGATCAATAATCTGAACAGTAATGGCATTTCTTAAGGGGCTTATTTTATAGAATGAATACACTGTCTTAGTTCTAGATCTGGGAAAGAATTACTTGAAATACATTATTTAAAAGTTAGAAATTTAAATAAGACTTGGAAACAACTAGTTTTTAGCAAATTAACTACTGAAAGATAGTTTCATTTGATCTATAATTAACTTTATTTAAATAATTTGAGAATATTCTTTAATACGATGATGATTACAAAGCCACAAAAATGAAATGTACTTAAATTTCAAAAGTACTTGAGGATTACAAGTAGCATTTCTTAGTGAGAGGTCAATCTACATCAATATTTTTCAAAATGGAAATGATAAGAACTTACTGTAAGAAATATCCTTGC
This sequence comes from Homo sapiens, assembly GCF_000001405.40. Classification (NCBI taxonomy): domain Eukaryota; kingdom Metazoa; phylum Chordata; class Mammalia; order Primates; family Hominidae; genus Homo; species Homo sapiens. Next base: position 49,787,997 of record NC_000011.10, read on the forward strand.
CAATGAAATTACAGTTTTTCTAGTCAAACTATGATAGTGGCTATTCCCCAGAGGTAAATATTATTCTTTATCTTTATATGTAGCAAGAATGTCTATTCCAAATTAAGTCATTTTCAAACAAGTATACAGGCATTCCTTGGAGAAAATGTGCGTTTGATTTCAGACCACCACAATAAAACAGTATCACAGTAAAAATCACACAAATGTTTTGTTTTCCCAATTCATATAAAAAGTGGGCCGGGCGCGGTGGTTCACACCTGTAATCCCAGCACTTTGGAAGGCAGAGGCTTGCAGATCACGAAGTCAGGAGATCAAGACCATCCTGGCTAACACGGTGAAACCCTATCTCTACTAAAAATACAAAAAATTAGCCAGGTGTGGCTGCGTGCGCCTGTAGTCCCAGCTACTCTGGAGGCTGAGGCAGGAGAATGGTGCGAACCCGGGAGGCGGAGGTTGCAGTGAGCCGAGATTGCGCCACTGCGCTCCAGCCTGGGCAACAGAGCGAGACTCTGTCTCAAAAAAAAAAAAAAGTTATGTTTATACTATACTGTAGCCTAATAAGTGCACAATAGAATTATGTCTAAAAATACATAAATCTTAATTCAAATATACTTTATTGCTAAAAAAAAAAGCAACTGATCATCTGAGCCTTCAGTGGGTTAGATTCTTTTTGCTAGTTGAGGGTCTTGCCTCAATGTTGATGGCTGCTGACTGATTAGGGTGGCAATTGCTGAAGGTGGCGGTGGCTGTGGCAATTTCTTAAAATAAGACAACAATGAAGTTTGCCACATCAAATGAGTCTTCCTTTCACAAAAGGAAGTGGTATTTATCTGTAGTGTGAAATGTTGTTTGATGACATTTTACCTGCGTTAGAACTGCTCTTAAAACTGGAGTCAGTTTTAAGTCTACTAAGTATACGTAATATTCTAAATTCTTTGTTGTCATTTCAACAATGCTGATAGCAACTTCACCAGAGTATATTCCGCCTCAAGAAACCACTTTCTTTGCTGATCTATAAGAAGCAATTCCTCATCCATTTAAGATTTATCATGAGATTGTAGAAGTTCAGTGCCATCTTTGAACTCACTTTCTAATTCTAGTTCTCCTGCTCTTTTCATTACATCTTCAGTTACTTCCTTGACTGGAAGTATTGGAACACCTCAAAGTCATCCATGAGGGTTGGAATCACTTCTTCCAAACTCCTGTTGTTGATATTTTGACCTTCTCTCATGACTCATGAATGTTCTTAATGACACCTAGAATGGTGAATCCTTTCCAGAAGGTTTCCAACTTACTTTGCCCATATCCATCTGAGGGATTACCATCTATGACAGTTACGGCTTTATGAAATGTATTTTAGAAATAATAAGACATGAGAGTCAAAATTACTTGTTGATTCATAGGCTGCAGAATGGATATTGTGTTAGCAGGTACGTAAACAACATTAAACTCCATGTATGTCTCCATCAGACCTCCGGGCTGGCCGGGCACATTGTCAATTATTAGCAGTAGTATTTTGAAGGGATTTTTGTATATATATATATGTGTGTGAGTAGTAATTCTCAGAAGTAGACTTAAAATATTCAGTAAACCATGTTGTAAAGAGATGTGTTGTCACCCAGGCTTTGTTTTTTCATTTTTAGAACACAGTAATACGTGTAACATAATTCATAAGTTTCCTAGTCTTCTCAGAATGGAAATGATTATTGGCTTCCACTTCAAGTCACCAGTTTTATTATCTCCTCATAGAAGAGTTAGCCTGTCCTTTGACAATCTGAAGCAAGGCCTTGACTTCTCCTCTCTAGCTGAGAAAGTGTTAGATGGCATCTTCTTCCAAAAAAAGGCTGTTTTGTCTACATCGAAAATATGTTGTTGAAGCTTCTCTATCAGTCTGCACTTGCTGCTTCACCCAGCACTTTGATGTTATAGAGACAGTTTCCTTCCTTCAACCTCACGAAATAACCTCTGCTAGCTTTACACATCTTCTGTAACTTCCTCCCCTCTCTCAGCCTTTATAGGATTAAAGAGAGTTAAGGTCTTGCTCTTGATTACAATTTTGGTTTACAAGAATGTTGTGGCTGACTTGATCTTCTATCAAGACCATGAAAACTTTCTCCATATCAGCAATAAGGCTGTTTCTCTTTCTTATCATTTCTGTATATTCACAACTTGGCTGTTTTTTGCAACAGGCCTAATTTTTGGCCTATATTTGCTTCCACCATACCTTCCTCATTAAGTATAATCATTTCTTGTTGATTTTGATTTAAAGCTTTTAAATCAAAAGCTTTTGATTTAAAGTTAGAGACTTACAATTCTTCCTTTCACTTGAGCATTTAGCCATTGTAGGGCTATTAATTAGCCTAATTTTAATACTGTTGTGTCTCTAGGGATAGGGAGGCCTGAGGAGAGGGAGAGAGACGGAAGTACAGCCAGTGGGTAGGACAATCAGAACGTACCACCCTCATTACGGTCTTATGTGGGCAGTTTGTGATGCCCCAAACCAATTACAACAGTAGCGTGTTCCTAACACAAAGAAATAATAAATGTCTGAGGTGATGGATACGTTTATTACCCTGATTTGATCCTTATATATTGTATACATTTATGGAAATATCACACTGTATGCCATAAATGTGTACAATTATCATGTAAATTGAAATAATAATATAAGCAAAAAAGATCACTGATTACAGATCACCATAACAGATATAATAATAATGAAAAAGTTTGAAATATTGTGAGAATTAACAAAATTACACAAAATGAGACCATGCTATTGGAAAAATAGTGCCAACAGATGTGTAGGACAGAGATGCCACAAACCTTCAATTTGTAAAAAATGCAATATCTGTGGAGTTACAATAAAATCAAGTGCAATAAAAACGCATGTCCATAATTTTCTTCTACTGGGCCATTCAGTGTCATCAATTTGTAATGTGGGATAAAAGTTAACAATAGGAATGATAGTACCTTTACTGAGGTCATTGGGAAATGTCAGATATGAAGTAAAGAGCAGATCATGAGTTCAGTTTTGGAGAAGTGGAGTTCAGGTACATTTCAAAGATAAAGTAGTCTACTAGGTAGGAGAATATGTAAGTTGAGAGCTCAGAAGAGATATATAGGCTGTAAATAGAACTGAGAGAATCATCAGGATAATAGCAAATCAAGGACGTGTTTGTTAAAATTAAGAGAGGAATTCTAAGAAATTATCTTTGAGGGACCTCAGCATTTAGGTTGAAAAAAAAAGATGAACTCTAAATCGGAGACAGGAACAGGCAAATCCAGAGATGTAGATGGGAAACCAAGAGTGTTGTGTCATCCAAGCCAATGGAAGAGAGTATTTACAGGCAAGACACCAGTGTCAACTGAATTTAGGAGATCAAGTGAAAATAACACTGAAATGGCCATTTGGATTTATTGAGGTGGAGAGAACTGGCAATTTAACAAGACATGGCTGAATAGAGTAATAAAAGCAGATTAACAATGAAGTAGCTAAGAAGTGAGTAGAAGGTGAGAAAGTGAACCCATGACATATAAGCCAGTATTTTGGGAAGTTGAACTAATAAGGAATGAAGAATGAAATCTACAGTTCACCCTTGAACAACATGAGTTTGAACTGTGCAGGTCTCCATTTACATATTTTTTTTCAGTTGATAGGTTGAAATTTATTTTTGAGATTTGCAATAATTTGGACAAACTCACAGACAAACCATGTTGCCTAGGAATTTTTTTTTTTTTTTTTTTTTTTTTTTTTTTTTTAGTATTTATTGATCATTCTTGGGTGTTTCTCACAGAGGGGGATTTGGCAGGGTCACAGGACAATAGTGGAGGGAAGGTCAGCAGATAAACAAGTGAACAAAGGTCTCTGGTTTTCCTAAGCAGAGGACCCTGCGACCTTCCGCAGTGTTTGTGTCCCTGGGTACTTGAGACCAGGGAGTGGTAATGACTCTTTTTTTTTTTTTTTTTTTTTGTTTTAAGGGAACCAGATGCCATCTTTATTGAGATCTCAAAGAACAGCATCCTATGGGAAGACAGAAGAAAATGCCAAGGTCGCTTCCTTCAGGTAATGCAACACTTTCTTGTGAGAGACACAACGGTAAACATGAAGATGATTGATAACTTCTTTTAAGACATATAAAAGGGAGTTATAACACAGAAGTACAATCCTGAACCAAAAAAGAAGAAAAGCCAATTTATAGCTACGGAGGCATGTTTAAAAGTGCTACACAGAAAATTTCTTTGAGTCTATGTTTTTGCAAATGGGAGAGGATTTTCAAGTCAGCTCATGTGGAAGATACACTTCATCGCCAAAGGGAATAGTGGGACAGGCACCAGGAAATACCCTAAGGAACTGGGAAGGAGATACATGGTCCCAGAGCAGAACTTTGACCCTACTGAAAAGGAAGGAAAAGGCATTCCTGACGAGCAACCTCCTTTAATGCTTTAATGGAGCCAAGTTTAACCTGAATTTCAAATTCTTGAGATAGACTTTAACACAACAGACTGTCTAGGTTTGAATCCCAGTTCTGCCACTTTTTAGCAAAGTGATCTGGAGCAGGTTACACTACCTCCCTCCATCTTATGATTATTATTATCCACATTTGGTATGAAATGTGGATAATAATAATAGTAGCTACCTCACATGGTACTCATAAAGATTAAATAAAGTAATTTAGGTACAGTGAGATAAGGCTTGCCTTCCAGCAGATATTCAATATGTGTTGGCCATTATTATTATTTCTCTAATCATTAGAGAAAAGAATAACAAATAATAAGAAATATCTGCCTACAGTTAAAGAGACATTTCCTTTAGTCACCTCTGGCTAAAAAAAAAATTAAATAAAAAAGACTAATGAAAGCCTGAAATTCAATACCAGAACCGCATGCAGTACTGTTGGTTCATATCCACATGCACACACATTCTTTGCTTGGGTCTACAGTGCAACATACTACAACCAAACATAGAACTTAGATATTTCCAAGCCATTTGATGTAAGAGCCAGCTGGAAATCCTCATTTCAATGTTCCACAAGTATCTTAAACTCATTATACCCAAAACTGAACTGATCATTTTCACCCTCCTCTACTACTACTTCCCCTAACTTCCCCTAATTCCGTGGTGCCACATCCTGTTCTCTACCAATTTACTTTCTTTTTTTTTTTTTTTTTTTATTATACTCTAAGTTTTAGGGTACATGTGCACATTGTGCAGGTTAGTTACATATGTATACATGTGCCATGCTGGTGCCCTGCACCCACTAATGTGTCATCTAGCATTAGGTATATCTCCCAATGCCATCCCTCCCCCCTCCCCCGACCCCACCACAGTCCCCAGAGGGTGATATTCCCCTTCCTGTGTCCATGTGATCTCATTGTTCAATTCCCACCTATGAGTGAGAATATGCGGTGTTTGGTTTTTTGTTCTTGCGATAGTTTACTGAGAATGATGGTTTCCATTTTCATCCATGTCCCTACACAGGATATGAACTCATCATTTTTTATGGCTGCATAGTATTCCATGGTGTATATGTGCCACATTTTCTTAATCCAGTCTATCATTGTTGGACATTTGGGTTGGTTCCAAGTCTTTGCTATTGTGAATAATGCCACAATAAACATACGTGTGCATGTCTCTTTATAGCAGCATGATTTATAGTCATTTGGGTATATACCCAGTAATGGGATGGCTGGGTCAAATGGTATTTCTAGTTCTAGATCCCTGAGGAATCGCCACACTGACTTCCACAATGGATGAACTAGTTTACAGTCCCACCAACAGTGTAAAAGTGTTCCTATTTCTCCGCATCCTCTCCAGCACCTGTTGTTTCCTGACTTTTTAATGATTGCCATTCTAACTGGTGTGAGATGATATCTCATAGTGGTTTTGATTTGCATTTCTCTGATGGCCAGTGATGATGAGCATTTCTTCATGTGTTTTTTGGCTGCATAAATGTCTTCTTTTGAGAAGTGTCTGTTCATGTCCTTCGCCCACTTTTTGATGGGGTTGTTTGTTTTTTTCTTGTAAATTTGTTTGAGTTCATTGTAGATTCTGGATATTAGCCCTTTGTCAGATGAGTAGGTTGCGAAAATTTTCTCCCATGTTGTAGGTTGCCTGTTCACTCTGATGGTAGTTTCTTTTGCTGTGCAGAAGCTCTTTAGTTTAATTAGATCCCATTTGTCAATTTTGTCTTTTGTTGCCATTGCTTTTGGTGTTTTGGACATGAAGTCCTTGCCCACGCCTATGTCCTGAATGGTAATGCCTAGGTTTTCTTCTAGGATTTTTATGGTTTTAGGTCTAATGTTTAAATCTTTAATCCATCTTGAATTGATTTTTGTATAAGGTGTAAGGAAGGGATCCAGTTTCAGCTTTCTACATATGGCTAGCCAGTTTTCCCAGCACCATTTATTAAATAGGGAATCCTTTCCCCATTGCTTGTTTTTCTCAGGTTTGTCAAAGATCAGATAGTTGTAGATATGCGGCATTATTTCTGAGGGCTCTGTTCTGTTCCATTGATCTATATCTCTGTTTTGGTACCAGTACCATGCTGTTTTGGTTACTGTAGCCTTGTAGTATAGTTTGAAGTCAGGTAGTGTGATGCCTCCAGCTTTGTTCTTTTGGCTTAGGATTGACTTGGCAATGCGGGCTCTTTTTTGGTTCCATATGAACTTTAAAGTAGTTTTTTCCAATTCTGTGAAGAAAGTCATTGGTAGCTTGATGGGGATGGCATTGAATCTGTAAATTACCTTGGGCAGTATGGCCATTTTCACGATATTGATTCTTCCTACCCATGAGCATGGAATGTTCTTCCATTTGTTTGTGTCCTCTTTTATTTCCTTGAGCAGTGGTTTGTAGATCTCCTTGAAGAGGTCCTTCACATCCCTTGTAAGTTGGATTCCTAGGTATTTTATTCTCTTTGAAGCAATTGTGAATGGGAGTTCACCCATGATTTGGCTCTTTGTTTGTCTGTTGTTGGTGTATAAGAATGCTTGTGATTTTTGTACATTGATTTTGTATCCTGAGACTTTGCTGAAGTTGCTTATCAGCTTAAGGAGATTTTGGGCTGAGACGATGGGGTTTTCTAGATAAACAATCATGTCGTCTGCAAACAGGGACAATTTGACTTCCTCTTTTCCTAATTGAATACCCTTTATTTCCTTCTCCTGCCTGATTGCCCTGGCCAGAACTTCCAACACTATGTTGAATAGGAGTGGTGAGAGAGGGCATCCCTGTCTTGTGCCAGTTTTCAAAGGGAATGCTTCCAGTTTTTGCCCATTCAGTATGATATTGGCTGTGGGTTTGTCATAGATAGCTCTTATTATTTTGAAATACGTCCCATCAATACCTAATTTATTGAGAGTTTTTAGCATGAAGGGTTGTTGAATTTTGTCAAAGGCTTTTTCTGCATCTATTGAGATAATCATGTGGTTTTTGTCTTTGGCTCTGTTTATATGCTGGATTACATTTATTGATTTGCGTATATTGAACCAGCCTTGCATCCCAGGGATGAAGCCCACTTGATCATGGTGGATAAGCTTTTTGATGTGCTGCTGGATTTGGTTTGCCAGTATTTTATTGAGGATTTTTGCATCAATGTTCATCAAGGATATTGGTCTAAAATTCTCTTTTTTGGTTGTGTCTCTGCCCGGCTTTGGTATCAGAATGATGCTGGCCTCATAAAATGAGTTAGGGAGGATTCCCTCTTTTTCTATTGATTGGAATAGTTTCAGAAGGAATGGTACCATTTCCTCCTTGTACCTCTGGTAGAATTCGGCTGTGAATCCATCTGGTCCTGGACTCTTTTTGGTTGGTAAACTATTGATTATTGCCACAATTTCAGAGCCTGTTATTGGTCTTTTCAGAGATTCAACTTCTTCCTGGTTTAGTCCTGGGAGAGTGTATGTGTCGAGGAATGTATCCATTTCTTCTAGATTTTCTAGTTTTTTTGCGTAGAGGTGTTTGTAGTATTCTCTGATGGTAGTTTGTATTTCTGTGGGATCGGTGGTGATATCCCCTTTATCATTTTTTATTGTGTCTATTTGATTCTTCTCTCTTTTTTTCTTTATTAGTCTTGCTAGCGGTCTATCAATTTTGTTGATCCTTTCAACAAACCAGCTCCTGGATTCATTGATTTTTTGAAGGGTTTTTTGTGTCTCTATTTCCTTCAGTTCTGCTCTGATTTTAGTTATTTCTTGCCTTCTGCTAGCTTTTGAATGTGTTTGCTCTTGCTTTTCTAGTTCTTTTAATTGTGATGTTAGGGTGTCAATTTTGGATCTTTCCTGCTTTCTCTTGTAGGCATTTAGTGCTATAAATTTCCCTCTACACACTGCTTTGAATGCGTCCCAGAGATTCTGGTATGTGGTGTCTTTGTTCTCGTTGGTTTCAAAGAACATCTTTATTTCTGCCTTCATTTCGTTGTGTACCCAGTAGTCATTCAGGAGCAGGTTGTTCAGTTTCCATGTAGTTGAGCGGCTTTGAGTGAGATTCTTAATCCTGAGTTCTAGTTTGATTGCACTGTGGTCTGAGAGATAGTTTGTTATAATTTCTGTTCTTTTACATTTACTGAGGAGAGCTTTGCTTCCAACTATGTGGTCAATTTTGGAATAGGTGTGGTGTGGTGCTGAAAAAAATGTATATTCTGTTGATTTGGGGTGGAGAGTTCTGTAGATGTCTATTAGGTCTGCTTGGTGCAGAACTGAGTTCAATTCCTGGGTATCCTTGTTGACTTTCTGTCTCGTTGATCTGTCTAATGTTGACAGTGGGGTGTTAAAGTCTCCCATTATTAATGTGTGGGAGTCTAAGTCTCTTTGTAGGTCACTGAGGATTTGCTTTATGAATCTGGGTGCTCCTGTATTGGGTGCATAAATATTTAGGATAGTTAGCTCCTCTTGTTGAATTGATCCCTTTACCATTATGTAATGGCCTTCTTTGTCTCTTTTGATCTTTGTTGGTTTAAAGTCTGTTTTATCAGAGACTAGGATTGCAACCCCTGCCTTTTTTTGTTTTCCATTGGCTTGGTAGATCTTCCTCCATCCTTTTATTTTGAGCCTATGTGTGTCTCTGCACGTGAGATGGGTTTCCTGAATACAGCACACTGATGGGTCTTGACTCTTTATCCAACTTGCCAGTCTGTGTCTTTTAATTGCAGAATTTAGTCCATTTATATTTAAAGTTAATATTGTTATGTGTGAATTTGATCCTGTCATTATGATGTTAGCTGGTGATTTTGCTCATTAGTTGATGCAGTTTCTTCCTAGTCTCGATGGTCTTTACATTTTGGCATGATTTTGCAGCGGCTGGTACCGGTTGTTCCTTTCCATGTTTAGCGCTTCCTTCAGGAGCTCTTTTAGGGCAGGCCTGGTGGTGACAAAATCTCTCAGCATTTGCTTGTCTATAAAGTATTTTATTTCTCCTTCACTTATGAAGCTTAGTTTGGCTGGATATGAAATTCTGGGTTGAAAATTGTTTTCTTTAAGAATGTTGAATATTGGCCCCCACTCTCTTCTGGCTTGTAGGGTTTCTGCCGAGAGATCCGCTGTTAGTCTGATGGGCTTTCCTTTGAGGGTAACCCGACCTTTCTCTCTGGCTGCCCTTAACATTTTTTCCTTCACTTCAACTTTGGTGAATCTGACAATTATGTGTCTTGGAGTTGCTCTTCTTGAGGAGTATCTTTGTGGCATTCTCTGTATTTCCTGAATCTGAACGTTGGCCTGCCTTGCTAGATTGGGGAAGTTGGGAGTGGTAATGACTCTTAACGAGCATGCTGCCTTCAAGCATCTGTTTAACAAAGCACATCCTGCACCACCCTTAATCCATTTAACCCTGAGTGGACACAGCACATGTTTCAGAGAGCACGGGGTTGGGGGTAAGGTTATAGATTAACAGCATCCCAAGGCAGAAGAATTTTTCCCAGTACAGAACAAAATGGAGTCCCCCATGTCTACTTCTTTCTGCACAGACACAGCACCAATCCAATCTCTCTATCTTTTCCCCACATTTCCCCCTTTTCTATTGGACAAAACTGCCATCATCATCATGGCCCGTTCTCAATGAGCCGTTGGGTACACCTCCCAGATGGGGTGGTGGCCGGGCAGAGGGGCTCCTCACTTCCCAGATGGGGTGGCCGGGCAGAGGCTCCCCCCACCTCCCGGACAGGGCGGCAGCCGGGCAGAGGCGCCCCACAACTCCCGGATGGGCGGCCGGCCAGGTGTGGGCTGCCCGCCACCTCCCTCCTGGATGGAGCGGCTGGCTGGGCGGGGGCTGCCCCCCACCTCCCGGACAGGGAGGCTGGCCGGGGCGGGGGTTGTCCCCCACCTCCCGGACGGGGTGGCTGCCGGGCAGGGGCTACCCCCCACCTCCCTCCTGGACGGGGCGGCTGGCCAGGTGGGTGTTGCCCCCACCTCCCTCCTGGATAGGGCGGCTGGCCGGGCGGGGGCTGCCCCCCACCTCCCGGTCGGGGCGGCTGCCGGGCGGAGATGCTCCTCACTTCCCAAATGGTGCGGCTGCTGGGTGGAGGGGCTCCTCACTTCTTAGACGGGGCGGCCGGGCAGAGACGCTCCTCACCTCCCAGACGGGGTTGCGGCCAGGCAGAGGCGCTCCTCACATCCCAGACGGGGTGGTGGGGCAGAGGCGCTCGCCACATCTCAGACTATGGGCGGCGGGGCAGAGACGCTCCTCACTTCCTAGAGGGGATGGTGGCCGGGAAGAGGCGCTCCTCACTTCCCAGACTGGGCAGCCAGGCAGAGGGGCTCCTCACATCCCAGATGATGGGCGGCCAGGCAGAGACGCTCCTCACTTCCCAGACGGGGTGGCGGCCAGGCAGAGGCTGCAATCTCAGCACTTTGGGAGGCCAAGGCAGGTGGCTGGGAGGTGGAGGTTGTAGCAAGCCGAGATCACACCACTGCACTCCAGCCTGGGCAACATTGAGCACTGAGTGAACGAGACTCCGTCTGCAATCCCGGCACCTCAGGAGGCCGAGGCTGGCGGATCACTCGCGGTTAGGAGCTGGAGACCAGCCCGGCCAACACAGCGAAACCCTGTCTCCACCAAAAAAATACGAAAACCAGTCAGGCGCGGCGGCACACGCCTGCAGTCGCAGGCACTCGCAGGCTGAGGCAGGAGAATCAGGCAGGGAGGTTGCAGTGAGCCGAGATGGCGGCAGCGCAGTCCAGCTTCCGCTCGGCATCAGAGGGAGACCGTGGAAAGAGAGGGAGAGGGAGACCGTGGGGAGAGGGAGAGAGGGAGAGGGAGAGGAATATTTTTTTAAAAATAAGAAAATATGTGTGATAAATGAATATAATATTTACATATACTATTTTATCATTTACTACCATAAAATCTACACCAATCTATTATAAAAAGTTAAAATTTTTCAAAACTTTTGTGCACACTTGTGAGCCATTCCTGATTAAGAGAAAACAAAGATTTACTATTAAATCATAACTACATAAAATTAACTGTAGTACATGTTGTACTACTGTAGTAATTTCAAAGCCACCTCCTATTGATATTGCAATGGTCTCAAGTATTGTGAGTATCTGCTTAAATCACAGTTTGAGGCTAATCATCTCCCTGTGAACTGTTCATTTCACCACTAAATCACACATCACAGTGAAAAGTGATTGTTCCTGATTATTGCACATTTTTTATCATGTCTTTTGCAATACTGTGAACCTTAAATAACACCATGGGAGCAAAGGTGTCAGTAGTGGTGCTGAAACTGCTCCCAAGACGAAGAGAAAAGTCATGATATTACAAGAAAAAGTTGAGTTGCTTAATATGTACTGTGGATTCAGGTCTGCAGCTGCAGATGCCCTTCATTTCAAGATAAACAAATCCAGCATAAGGAAAGACCAACGTAATGAAAGAAAAGGAAACGTATGAAGCCATCCCTGTGGCTACACCAGCAGATGTGAAAACTTGCTCTTCTGGGGAAATACCTTTTTATGTAATTTTGAACATGCAGCTTTTATGTAGGTGTAGGATTGGGTATAACAAAGGCATACATATAGAGTCTAATATTATTCAAGAAAAAGAAAAGTCATTAAAGATGACTTACTCAAAAGGAAGGTGAAGGATCTAAAGCTGGAGAATTTAGTGTTAGCAAAGGATGGTTTGATAATTTTACAAAGATATTTGGCTTAAAAATTGTCAAGATAATAAGAAAAACAGCTTCTGTTGCCCAAGAAGCAGCAGACAAGTTCCAAGACACCATTAAGAAAACCACTGAGGAGAAGGAATATTTGCTGCAACAGGTTTTTAATGTGTGTCAAAGTGCTCTATTCTGTACAGAAAAATACCACAAAGAACATTTATTAGTAAAGAAGAGAAGTGAGCACTAGGATTTAAGGCAGGAAGGAGTAAGCTAACCCTCCTGTTTTGTGACAATACAGTCAGGTTTATTATGATCATGACTTTTCTTATCTACACAGTTGCTAATCTCCTAGCATTGAAGGGAAAAGATAAACATCAGCTACCAGTCTTTTGGTTGTACAAGAAGAAGACCTGGACATTTAGAGCTATTTTCCTTGATTGTGTCCATCAGCACTTTGTCCCTGAAATCATGAAGTACCTGGCTAGGAAGGACTGCCTTATAAAGTTCCTTTGCTATTGAGCAATGCCCCTTGCCACCCAGAACCTCATGAGTTCAACATGGAAAGTATCTACTTGCCTCCAGACAAAAAGTCTCTAATTCAGCCTCTAGATTAGGGGTCATAAGGACTATAAAGGCTCAATACACACAGTACTCTATGGAAAGGATCGTCAATGGTTTGAAGAGGATCCGAATAGAGACAACATCATGAAAGTCTGGAAAAATTATACCACTGAAGATACAACTGTTGTTATGGAAAAAGCCCTGAAAGCCATCAAGCCTGATACAATAAATTCCTGCTGAAGAAAACTGTTTCCAGATTTTATGTATCACTTCACAATATTTATGATAGAGCCAGTCAAGGAAATCATGAGATCATGGGTATAAAAAAGAAAAGGTGGGGGTGAAGGGTTTCAGAATATGGATCTTGGAGAAATTCAAGAGCTAACAGACATCACACTACAAGAATTAACAGAAGATGACTTTGATGGAGATAAGTGCTTTTGGACCAGTGCCAGATGAGGAGGAAGATGATGTTGAAGAAGTAGTGACAGAAAACAAATTGACATTAGATAATCTGGCAGGAGGGTTTCAGTTATTCAAGACTGCTTTTGACTTCTTTTATGACATGATCCTTTCTATGATACAGGGACTGAAATTAAAGCTAACAGTGGAAGAAGGATTGGTACTGTATAGAAACATTTTTGGAGAAATGAAAAAGAAAAAAAAGGCAAAAATGCATTTCCTTAAATGTGTTAAGTTAAACTAAGTGTGCCTTCCTCTCCTGCCTCCCTTTCCACCTCATCCGCCTCTTCCACCACTGCCACCCCTGAAACAGCAAGACCAACCCCTTCCCTTCCTCTTCCCCATCAGCCTACAGTATGAAGACAATTAGGATGAAAACCTTTATGATGATCCACATCTACTTAATGAATAGTAAATATATATTTTTCTTCCCTATGATTTTCTTGATAACATTTCTTCCTCTTGCTTACTTTATTATAAGAATACAGTATATAATGCATACAACATACAAAAATACATGTTAATCAACGATTATGTTAGTTGTAAGGATTTGGGTCAACAGTAGGCCATTAGTAGTTAAGATTTAGGAGAGTCAAAAGTTATATGTAGATATTTGACTGTGTAAGCTGATGTTGCCTCTAACTCCTGCGTTGTTCAAGGGTCAACTGTATATTTTAAGGGAAAATGAGGTAAAGAGAGATTTTTTAACATTAACATTTTATTTCTCTCTAAAGATGTAATTTATAATCATGAAAAATAATTTAAGTGGTGAACAAAATATATAGTGAAAAGCACTTGTATTTCTCTGTCGACTCATGGTATTATTAAATCATTTGCACTTTGATAATATTATGAATCAAAATGGCATCATAATATTTTAATTTGTAGTTTTAAAATTATGAGTAAGATAGTAAATATTATGTCAATATTTCCTAAAAGCTACCTATCCATATACTAAAACCATTTTTTTATTTATTTTTCCTTATTGATTTCTAAAAACTATAAATTAAGGACGGTAGCTCATTGGAATATGTTGAAAATATTTTTACTCTTGTCATTTAATTTGGGCTTTATGACCTTCAGATAATGCCAAGCTTTATAATTTTTAGATTTTTAAAATTTTATGATATATAGTATCTGTATCTTGCATGCAAAGGTCAGTTGTTTATTTAATTGGTTAATTTTGGTATCTAGGTAGGATAGGTGATTTAATTAATGAAAAGAGGGTTATGAATAGTATGAAATGCATAAAAATGTGGGAAGGGGTGGCATTTAAAGTCCAGGTGGAGGAAACCAACTGAGAAGATGTACTACAGAACTAGAACAGAAATTTAAAAATGTGTTGGGGCAGATATAGCTTAAAAGTTTAGAAATAGAAAAATCACTTGATGGCCTTTCTTCCTAAATTTAGAGGCAATTCGGAGAAGGAAGTTTGTGTGTGTGTGTGTGTGTGTGTGTGTGTGTGTGTGTGTAGCATAAGGGGTGTGGCAGTGGGTTGAGAAACAGTCAGTGGAGATTGGAAACCAGGAAACCTCTACTGCTAATAAGTGGTTTCATTTATTATTTTTGAAAGATATTACTCCATCTGTAATAAACAATGAGGAGAGAAAGATTTCGTTAAACTATAATGCAAGATATTTTTAAAGTAACACCAAATTTAACATTTGTAACTGTAGAGTCACATAAAGTATTATATTAATTTCTCACTGTTAGGGATTTAAAGGTTCATTAAACAATAGCCCTTTTCTCAAATTAAATACCAGCAAGAAGTCATGGAGTTAGTATACATTAGCTAAATAAAACCAAATCTTTGATCTGTGACCAAATATTCTTCTCCATCCCCACAGTCACAGACAGGGCTGAACAATCACAGGACTTGCTTGCTTTAATAGATAGCTTTTGGAAGGACAACAGAAAAACTCTTAGGTTCAGAGAACAGACTGCTCCATGAAAAGAAGAGATGGAGTCATACACACTTAACCCCTTCTCCAGTTTCACCAGACAGGTGAGTCACTATCCCCAGAAAGGATAGTAGGAAGATGGTGGAATAAAGCTGTGTGTTTTCCTTCCATGCTTTCCTCTCCTGGAGCATAAAAGTTCCCCTCAAACACCCCTATTAAAATGTAAAGAATGAGATATTTCTTTTATTTCTCACAAGTCCCTTCTGAAGTGAGTAATATTAACCTAACTTTATAGATGAAGAATCTGAAACTCAGAGACATTACTTATGTCTTTTTTTTTTTTTTTTTTGAGATGGAGTCTCACTCTGTCACCCAGGCTGGAGTGAAGTGGCGCGATCTCGGCTCACTGCAAGCTCCGCCTCCTGGGTTCATGACATTCTCCTGCCTCAGCCTCCCAAGTAGCTGGGACTACAGGCGCCTGCCACCACGCCTGGCTATTTTTTTGTGTATTTTTAGTAGAAACGGGGTTTCACCGTGTTAACCAGGATGGTCTCGATCTGCTGACCTCGTGATCCGCCCGTCTCTGCCTCCCAAAGTGCTGGGATTACAGGCGTGAGCCACCGCGCCCGGCCGACGTTACTTATGTCTTTAAATGCAACTCTGCTTGCTAGATATAAGCTGAAATGTAAATAATACCAGTTGCCGTGGGAGGTGCTGTAGGTCTGACAACTGAAAATGAACAGGGGCTTTTGATGTTATTGGATGAAGTATTCCTATGTCCAGGATGAAACCAACCCAGGACTTTGAAGCCCTCTTCTAATACTAGAGCTTGTCCTTTAAAGTAATCTGCATCTCAAAGTGCGCTGGTAGCTTTGAGATTGATTGCACTGCGAACATTTGTTTAGATAAATATTTAAAACATTTTGATAATAATCACTTTTTATAGAGTGATCTTTATTTAGCAAGCACTGTTCTAAGTGGTTGATCTTCATGTATTAATTTATTGACTTTTTATAGCAATTCTATTTGTAAGCTATTATTACTAACTTCATTTTATAGCTGAAGAAACTGAGACACAGAGAGACAACTAATTTGCTCAAGGTCCCACAGGCAGTAAATGGCAGTGAGGATATTGGAAGGTAACCTGTATCCTAAACCATTCTGGAAAACCATCTCTGGATCTTTGATAATCCTCAATTTCAGTAATAAATTTTGTCCTTACAGTATAAGAGAATATGTTTTTCTCTATTTTCAAGATAGATAATTTGAACAAAGGAAAATGTAGAATTAAAGGTGATTCTGAAAATGTTTCTTTTTTAAAAAAAATAAGATTAACAAACCAGGAGCAATTACACTTTCTGTAATCAAGAAAATTTAATAATTAGATGGACTATTCAAACTGCACTTCCATTTTCCCAGGAAACTAAACTTTTTGATGAAACTTTAGTTTTTAGTAAACAGAAAAGTTTGAAGTTGCTTTATAAGTGTGTGTAAACATCTACAGAGAAACAAAAGCAAACTGAATATTATTCTGTGCTGAATTCCAGTCAAAAACATTTGCTCTTTATTGTTTTCTAGATTTGGTTTTTTTTTGTTTGTTTTTGTTTTTTGGTTTTTGTTTTTTGTTTTGAGACAGAATCTTACTCACTCTATCACCCAAGCTGGAGTGCAGTGGCGGTATGTCAAGTCACTGCAGTCTCTGTCTCCTGGGTTCAAGCGATTCTCCAACCTTAGCCTCCCAAGTAGCTGTGATTACAGGCATGCACCACCATGCCCAGCTAATTTTTGTATATTTTTTATTAGAGATGAGGTTTTGCCATCTTGGCCACGTTGGTCTCAAACTCCTGACTTCCAGTGATCTCAGCTTCCCAAAGTGCAGAGATTACAGGCATGAGCCACTGCGCCTGGCCTGTTTCTAGAAGATTGACATGATTTTGTGGAATTAACAGAAGATGTGAACTATCATACATATATATATACACACACACACAGATTTATATACACACATATATACATATGTATATTTCTATTAGTTGGCAGGCATTGTGATAAATCATACTAAAAACAGTGACTGATTAACTGAGGCTCATCAGCCGAATTCTATTTTTGTACAATAGTTTCTTTGGAACATAGTCGCATTCATTGACATAATGTCTATGGCTGCTTTGGGGCTATAACTGCAGAAGTGAACAGTTTTAATAGAAATCATATGTCCCATAGAGCCTTAAATATTTACTATCTGACCCTTTACAGGAGAGGTTTGCTACCTGATCCAGAGTTTTTTCATCTGTGAAGATGAATATGCCTACTTACATAGCAGTATTAAGTTTTCAATATTACTCAAAAGTAGTCATGGTTTGCACATAAACTCCACTTTTTTTTTCAATCCTTATTGAGGTTTAAGGGCTTCTGATGGGTTATGAGATCTGAGAGTCTTAGGAGTGTTGGTTGGAGTTGAGGGTACAGGCTTGAATGCCATGATTCTCAGTGGAGAGAAGACCCAGAACAAAGGAGCTTTTTTTGACTTCAACATCCTGGAACATAATGTTCAAAGCAATTGCAACAGGCAATGCATTTGAATTACCTCCTCATTCAACACTAAGTGATTTAATTTTACCTAAAATAAAAGAATGTGCTAAGTTTAATAAGAAGTGTACTCTTTGGGTATAGATATTAGTCTTTTTAATACAGTTATTTTTACACCTCTCATTTGCTAAATTGTATCAATAACATGGATTAAAAATGCTTCTTTTCTTTTTTCCTCATCCCATCGTCCCCAGTTTCCTCAGAGTTGTTTTCTGTAAAACAAATGTAATTGTTTCATCCTTCTGCAAAATGATCTTAGCTGACTCCCCTTTGCCATCATATTCCACTCCATAATTTGGCATACACTACATGGCCTAAAATCTGCCAATCACTTCCTATGTTACTCAGAGGTGAGATTTAAAATATGTAACAACTAGTAAGATGTGGATCCAATCAAAACAGATGCAAGTCATAACCAATGGGTTAATTTATGCTGATGCATACCAGCCGAATATCAGAATTGACACACTTCTGCACCTTCCCACTGCTGTATCTTCACCTATATCTCAAAATGCTTACAATTCGCTGACCATATCTAGCTTACAGTGTAACCTACACTGTTTTCTCCCTGGAATTACTTCCCTGTCTTTTACCTATATACTCAGGTTTATGTATCTGGTTTATCATGTAAGACATTTCCAGGCAGTTTGGAAGATATCCTGAACTCCAGTAAGACTTCCACAGATCCCTTAAAAAATCCCTGGAAGTTTTCATTTTTATTTTTCTGTTTTCTTCTTTTTCCTCTTACACTAGAATATAAGCTCCTTGAAAGTGTGGGTAAAGGTTTATAAATCTTCATATCTTTCATACCTAATACATTATAGATATTTTAGAGTGGCTGAAACTGCAGGGGGAAAGAAATTGGCAGTAATAGAGAGGCAGAAAAATGATTCTCCTTAACTCAGTCAGCCTAAGTAAAAGGCAGGATTCTCAAACCCTAAAAGTGAAAAAGTAGACTAAATGTATGTTTCTCTGCAAGTAAGCCAGCTAAAAGTCTCCTGGTGGAGAACAGAGGTGTCTCCTTAGGACACGCTCCCCATGAGTTTATGACAGGTCTATTTCAAAGCTTTTCTTACTGAATGGTGAATTTCTGGCCTTTGCAAAGCACGTCTGAAGAAATGAGCACTTTCTATGAGGCTTAAATGTGCATTCAATTAATCAATCACTTGCAATAGGAAAAGTCAAATTATTAATAAAGTGGTGAGACAAGGAAGACCAGATACATTCTTGGACACGTCTGTGCTGTTTTAAAGGAAGCCTTCATAGGTTTTATTTCCTTTCAAAGGCAGGGAAAACAGATGTAGTTTCTTCAGTACTCTGACTTCATATTATTAGACTTGCCAGCTAATAAAGTGAATATTAGATATCATTCAGTCATTAGTTCAGAATATTTTAAAGCTTTATTGTTTTCTAATAGCTTATCAAGTCATGAATACAAGTCTTTATGCTTCAAGATGATTTATAGAGATTCTCTCAAGTTACCTTTTTCTACACGCCAAAATCTGTTTTCTTACTTAATTTTACTTTAAAAAAATAATATTTGGCAATTTTTTTACAAAAAGTAATTTTTTAAATTGCTTTTGTCATGGATACATATTTTTACATATTTATAGGGTACACATGATTTTTTTTTACAGTCATAGAATGAGTAATGATCATGTTAGGGTTAGGGTATTTACAGTATCCATCACCTCACATATTTATCATTTCTATGTGTTGGGAACATTTCAAGTTCTCTCTTATAGACATTTTAGAACAAACAATATATTTTTGTTAATGATAGTCTACTCAGCTAACAAACATTAGAATGTTTTTCTTCTATCTAATTGTATGTTTTTACCCATTAACCAACCTCTCTTATTTACACACTACCCATGTACACACCCTCTTCAGCCTCTGGTATCTACTTCCATGAGAAAACCTTTTTTTTGGTCCCACATATATGAGTCAGAACATGTAATATTTGTCTTTCTGTGCCTGACTCCAAATTTCACACTAAACTTAGTGAAAGATGCATCTTGTGAAATGTCCTACGTATTTCTATTTTTTTTTACAGGGTTTTGGAGACATATTACACAGGTGAGTGTTTATGTAGATTTTAGCATATATTCCTTCAGTTTCCATGAATATCAAAGCAGGCTCTACCAAAGTCATGGCATAAATGATTCAGATATTGATACTACCTTTTTGTTTTTGCATCTGCTTTCACTCTCACACCAGAAAAGACAAGAACACTAAATAAAAAAATAAATAAATAAATAGTGAAATAAAAAAATGTTTATTCCTGAGTTTGTTTTATTGCTTAAAAGCCTGCATGGGTGAAAGATAAAGTTTTGTTTTGTGGATGGTTAGAAAGTCACCAGAGGAAGCAGGAGAGAAGTGGGGGAAGTATTTTAGCAGTGAAAAAGTTGATGATTTGTTGTTCATACCTACATACATATCAGTTAATAGTCCTGAAAAATAGGTTGAAAAAACTGTGGAGTGTTAGGACTGTATAAGTCTCTAGGGAAGCTTGTTTCTAAAAGGCACGTCTAGCTGTCTAGAACAAATTTCACATTCTTTATCTTGAAAAGGAAGCAGCAGATGCAGCAGTCTCCCCAAAACCCCGCTATTTCAGACAAAGAGGTCAGGGGAGTCTGCCAAGAAGTGGAACTCAGAATTTCATTTCCAAATATTCTCAAGGCCATAAGGCTAAGGAACCTTACACATGTGGGGCAGAAAAAAAGAAAGATCAGACTGAATTCTGACTCAGGCTCTCCCACTATGCTTTAAAATTTGGAAACTGTAAATAAAAATTAATTCCAAAAAGGAAGGAATAATTTTTGAATAATCAAATTTGTGGATTCACAGGATTCTCATGAACTGTCTTTTAAATAGAAATAGTGATTTTTATTTATTTTATGGCTGTAGATGTTGTAACTGCAGGTTTTTCCTTCCAGAAGTGAGTCCGTGCTGCTGCACATGCCCCAGCCTCTGAATCTAGAGCTCAGTGCAGGGCCCATCACTGGACTGAGGGACAGGCTCATCTAATTCTGAGGTAAGTCTCCACCCATAGGCAGCACTCCCACTATCTAAATATTATTATTGTTAGGACCACATAGGTAATATTTCATCCTTTATCAAATATTTTACTTCTTTATAGACATAAGTGAACAACATAATCATGCAACCCTTTTGTATCTGTGTCTGTGTAGTCAGATTTATAGCAATAAGTTTGAAAGATAGTGAAAAACAAATACATTTTGTCCTCATATATACTGAGTAATGTAATGGGAAAAAGGAGTAGTGTAGCAAATTTAAAAAAGGAGCAAATGGAACAATGCTCAGAATGAAGGTGAGTTATTTAATGTTAAATACAAAATTTTACATTTCCTTAGTGTATTCATTTGAACAGCTAAGAACTGTTCTTTTGGGGAGTATGGTTTACTGGGGATTGCTGGGGGTTTTTAATTTTTTAAATGGATATGTATCATGTATTGCAAAAAAATTAGTTAATGGGTAAACATAAAAAGAAATCATTTTGTGAATGCAAGTAAAATTACAAACAAAAAGAAGTTCAGTTTAATTGCAATATGAAAAGCTACATGTTAAGTCTAAAATCCAGCTTCAGCCCCAAGCTAACATGGAGGGCCACAGAGAGACTGGTAAAAGATTTTGCAGAAATCTGCTTTAAATGATCACTTATGACGTGTA
Source organism: Homo sapiens (assembly GCF_000001405.40). NCBI lineage: Eukaryota > Metazoa > Chordata > Mammalia > Primates > Hominidae > Homo > Homo sapiens. Next base: position 49,809,292 of record NC_000011.10, read on the forward strand.
CTTATGGATTTTTATCCAGTTATCTAGAGCAGTTCTTGAGTAACTGAAAATCTTCACATTCTTTCCAAAATGATAGCACTAGTTTTTAAGAATAAGAAACATTTCTAAATAATGATCTTGATAACAGCATAGCATTTAGGGCATATAATGAGCAAATTTTGCTTTGAAAATTGGATTGAAAGAAGTTGGTCTTACATTTGGCTCTCAATATGTAAGTTTTCAAAACAATTTTAATATCTGTGGTTAGCGTTTTTTTTGTCTTGTAGATAATATTAATCATCTCTATACTTTATTAGAAGTTACAAGCAAGTGTCCTTGTGACTTTACATTTCCTGGTAAATTAACTTCTTGATAGAACAATTTTTGCTTATTTACACATGCCTATGCATGTTTTCTTTCTTTCTTTCTTATTTATTTATTTATTTATTTATTTATTTATTTATTTTGCAGTGGATATTACTCTGCATTATAATGAAGCCAACAGTCATATCTTCTGATGTGGAGATTTGAGAAGCATTTGTATTGGATGTGACCGTCAAAATGCGCCCCATATCACTGCAACACCTACAAGTTTTCTTGCATGGGGTGCTCAGACTTTCACCTCTGGCAAGTATTACTGGGAGGTCCATGTGGGGGACTCTTGGAATTGGGCTTTCGGTGTTTGTAATAAGTACTGGAAAGGGAAGAATCAGAATGGCAATATATATGGAGAGGAGGGACTCTTTAGTCTTGGGATTGTTAAGAACGACATTCAGTGCAGTCTCTTTACCACCTCCCCAGTTACACTGCAGTATGTCCCAAGACCTACCAACCATGTAGGATTATTCCTGGATTGTGAAGCTAGAACTGTGAGCTTCGTTGATGTTAATCAAAGCTCCCCTATATACACCATCCCTAATTGCTCCTTCTCACCTCCTCTCAGGCCTATCTTTTGCTGTATTCATCTCTGACCAGAGACAAATCAGAAATGTGTTTATCTGCTGTGGGAACCCCTTTATCCCATAAAGCCCTCTTCCTTGTGCCTTATCAAACAGGACAAATAGGTTCTGTTTTATGTCTTGAATTGCATTCTAATGTTATTAAAACTCATTTATTGTGTTACTATTAAATGTGGTAAAAACACTAAAAGTATATGTATTGGTTCTTTATTAATTAATTTTTGAAAACTCATTATTCATGATCATGGCATGAAATATATTCTCTGTTTTTTTTTTCTTTATTTCTCACTACCACTGAGTGAAATAATAGATGACAGACATGTCTGAATGGAGTTAAAATCAGTGGAAGAGAGTCAGGATATTTTGCTTCATGCAAAAACTTGGAGTGAAGTCTTAATGATAACTGGGAAATGTTGTTTTTCTTTCTCTTTATATAACTGTATTGCACTTATCCATCATGTTTCATTGTACTAATCTATCCTTTGAGTTATATCAATTGACCTTCCATGCTGGGCTTCATTTTGGAATTCTCACCACATATATAAATAATCCCGCATTATTAGTGTGCTCTTCTACATTGAAATACACAAGGTGATCAGAACAATGCTGGATTTATTGAATTTTTTTTAAAAAAGTAACTAAATATTGACTCCTACCTCAAAACACACACAGTCACTTCCAAATAGATTCAAGTCCTGAAGGTAAGGGAAACATGACACAATATTCTCATAAGGATTTCTTAACCAGGACAAAAATTAACAATTAAAAAAATTAGTTGGTTTATATTAATGATGACTTCTGTGTTTCAAAAAACATGATACAAGAATTGAAATGCAAACCATTAGTGGAGAAAGATATTCACCCGAACATATATAAAATAAAATACAATTCATGTGCATGATGAATACTTAAAATGTATTTTAAGTATTTTTCCAGATTATTCCAGAGTGGCCTAGAATAAACTTGGATGACAGAGTCAATGATGAGATTAGCTGTGGAAATGGGAAACCATTTTTTGGAGGACAGTAGTAATGCTGTGAACTTATGAAAACAACCAAGTATTCAGTAGCAACTAAAATGTGTCTCCATAAGATTATTTTACAGATGCGTATCTGAAATCTGAAATTTGGGAGAACATTCTACTAGTGTTCTCTAGTGAGAAAATACAGCTGGAAGGAAGAAGGGAGGGAAGCTGAAGGAGAGAGAAACAGAATGCATTTGAGAGAAAATGCTATTTAGACTAAAATAGAATACTGCAGATACCATGACAAAGTGGTTAAAGTGTGTCTTATGGAGCAGAAATGGCAAAAAAATACCACAGTAAAGAGATTTACAACTGGATTGTTAGTTCTGGCTTTTATCCTGTCAATGTTGTGGCTTCTAAACACATCAGTGCTCTCCTTTGATCCATGTGTTAATTAACAACCAACACTCTGCCCCCTCTCCCAGATTCTTTCATCATTTTAAACCTAATCTAATTCTAATCCAGCTGGTCATTGTAACAAATGTAATCATCTAAGAATTTAAAAAAGATTTTTGATGAACTACTGAATATACCTCATTCTCAACAAAAATACTGTTTGAGAGGAAAAGTCGATGGTATTTGCAACCATTTAAGTGCATCCACACATGCAGACATATATATTTATATGTATATATTTATGTATCTGAGTTAATTGCATTAATTAGAGTGGCTACCTGGATTAGGATTACACTGGGCTTTGCTGATGAAAGAATTCGGAATGTTGTTTGGTTACCCTGTAATACCTATATGAATATATTAACCCTGTAATGTTACTACTGCCAAAGCTCCCTTAGATGTAATCAAGGATGATTGTATAGGGATGTATATTGTTGCACTCTTTCCAATCATGAAAGAGGGAAAAATAAATGTACTATAATGTGGAAATTGTTTAGAAAATTAGAATGCATTTTACTAAACCCTGTAAAAACCAACACCATCTATATGTGTTAATATATTGATACTAACAGATTTTCTTTTATCTCTTACATGACTATAATTCCTATTTTTCACTAGTATTTTTATTATGGACAGTCACAGTATTTTATTATGGATGGATATAGAAACAAAAATAATTCCCTCTACAGAGGGTATAAAAATTATATATCATCATATATATTATATATATTATGTATTTTTTATTATAGGTAAATATTTATATATTTATATTATATATAAAATATATAATATGCAAATATTTATATATTTGTATTTTATATAATATATATTATATATATAAAAATTATATATATATATAATATAGGGACTCGATTAGTTTCTGCTAGTGTGAAGACAAGTCATATCATGTCTAGGGGCCATGATGATAGGAGCAGTCAGAGGATTTCTTGCATTGTGATGAGTGCATATAAGTTAAACGAGCCACTTATCAGTAGAATTGATAGCAGGATAACGGCTAGGGTTACTTCATATGAAATTGTTTGGGCTACAGTTTGTAATGCGCCAAATAGTGCATAATTTGAATTTAATTGCTCTTCCTGATCATAGAATAGATGGCTAGGCTTGATACGGTTAGTAAAAATAGGAGGCCTATATCAAAATTAATTAGAGGATCTGGTATAGGGATGGGGGTTCACAATAGGAGAGCGAAAGAAAGGGCCAGGGTTGGAGCAATAATATAAAGGTTAATAGTAGATGTTGAGGGCCATAGGGGTTCTTTGCTGAAAAGTGTTATTGTGTCAGTGAAAGGTTGAAGCAGTCCCGAAGGGCTTACAATGTTAGGCCCTTTGTGTAGTTGTATGTAGCCTGAGTTTTTGTTAAATGAGTGATTTAAAATCAATAATGATAATAATGATAATTATTATTGAATAGTTATATTAATGACATTAAATTATTAATATTAATTATTAATAATGACTGATATTAACAATTGATACTGATCTTATAAATTAGAAAACAATAATATTAGGTACCAATAATTAATATTAATGTTAATAATATGAAAACTTTTTATTAGCAATTATTTCTCAATATTGATATTGGTAATTAATATTAATGTTAATAATAAATAAGTAATAATTAATAATAATATTACTCCTAATACCGCAGTGCATGTACATCCACCTATGATTTTGTTCCTAATATCCAGGGAGGGAGAGAGCATGGTATTACTTTCCATATTGCAGTAGGTGTACACCCACCCTGTGATATTGATCCAAATATCCAGGGGGGTGGAGTATGACGCTACTCCCAATATAGCAGTGGGTGTACATCCACCCGGTGATATTGCTCCTAATATTCACGGAAGAAGAGAATGATATTACTCCCAGTATCGCAGGGAGTGTACACCCGTTCTGTGATATTGTTCCTAATATCCGGAGGGGGAGAGGGTGATATTACTCCCAATGTCGCAGGCTATGCACACCCACCCTGTGATATTGTTGCTAATAATATCCAGGAAGGGAGAGGATGCTATGATTCCCCATACAGCAGCAGCTGAACACACATTCTGGGATATTATTCCTAATATCCATGGAGGGTAGAGGCTGATATTACTCCCAATATCGCAGGGGGTGTACATCCATTCTGTGATACTGTTTTTAATATTCAAAGGCGGAGAAGTTGATATTACTCCCAATATCACAGAAAGTGTACAAACGCGTGTGATATTCTTCCTACTTCCAGAAGAAGAGAAGATATTACTCCCCATATCGCAGGAGGTGTACACCCACTCTGTGATATTTTTCCTAATATGCAGGGCATGAGAGGATAATATTATTGTTAATAGCGCAGGATGTGTACAGCCCCCCTGTGATATTGTCCTTAATATTCCAAGGCGAAGAGGATATTACTGCCAATATCGCAGAAAGTGTACACCACCCCAGTGATATTGTTCCCATGATCCAGGAGAGAAGAGGATGGTATTACTTTCAGTATCGCATGGGGTGGACACGCCCCCAGTGACACTGTTTTGAATTTCAACGTGGGAGAGGATGGTATTACTCCCAATATCACAGGGGGTATAAACACTTCTTTGATATTGTTCCTAATATTCCGGGGTGGAGAGGATGTTATCACTCCCTATATTGCAGAGGGTTTACACCAATCTGTGATATTGTTCATAATTTCTAGAGGGGGGGATGATATTACTCACAATATCGTAAACACGCTGTGTGTCCACCGTGGGTCATGATATCCAGGGATGGAGAGGAGGGTGATATTACTCCCCATATCGCAGGGGGTGTCCACCCCGCCTGTCACACTGTTTCTTATGTGCAAGGGGGAGAGGATGATATTACTACCAATATCAAAGACGTGTACAGCCCCCCTTGTGATATTGTTCCTAATATCCACGTTGGGAGAGGATGATATTACTCCCAATATCACAGAGGGTGTACACCCCGCCTGTGATATTATTCCTACTATCCAGAATAAGAGAGAATGGTATTACTCGCAATAGTGCCGGGGTGTACACCCCCCTTGTGATATTGTTCCTAATATCCAGAGGGGGAGAGCATGATATTAATAACTCCCAATATCGCTATGGGTGTACACCCACCCTGTGATATTGCTCCTAATATCCAGGGGGTAGAGTATGACATTACTCCCAATGTAACGGTGGGTGTACATCCACCCAGGGATATTGCTCCTAATATTCATGGAAGGAGAAAATGATACTACTCCCAATATCATAGGGAGTGTACGCCTCTTCTGTGATATTGTTCCTAATATCCGGAGGGCGAGAGGATGATATTACAGCAATATCGCAGGCTGTGTACACCCACCCTGTGATATTGTCCCTAATATCCAGGAAAAGAGAGGATACGACTCCCCATAGAGCAGGAGATGTAAACCCACCCTGAGATATTGTTCCTAATATCCATGGAGGGAAAGAGCCCGATATTACTCCCAAAATCTCAGGGGCTGTACATCCCCCCTGTGACATTTCTCTTAATATTCAAAGGCGGAGAGGATGATATTACTCTCAATCTTGAAGAAAGTGTACACTCCCGAGTGATATTGTTCCTAATATCCAGAAGGGGAGAAGATGATATTACTACTCATATCGCAGAAGGTGCACACCCACTCTGTGATATTTTTCCTAATATGCAGGTTGGGGAGAGGATAATATTGCCAGTATCGCAGAGAGTGTACACCCACCCTGTGACATTGCCCTAAATATTCAAAGAGGGAGAGGATGACATTACTCCCAATATTGCAGAAAGCGTACGCTTCCCATTGATATTGGTCCCATGATCCAGGAGAAAAGAGGATGATATTACTTTCAATATCACAGGGTGTGTACACGCCCCCAGTGATATTGTTCCTAATTTCAGCGTGGGAGAGGATGATACTACACCAAATGCCGCTGGGGGTAGAAACACTCCTGTGATATTGTTGTTAATATCCAGGGGCAAGTGGATGCCATTACCGCAAATAGTGCAGAGGATGTACACCCGTCTATGACATAGTTGGTAATCTCCAGAGGCGGAGAAGATATTACTCACAATAACGTAAACACGCTGTGTGTCCACCGTGGATCGTAATATCCTGGGGGGATAGGCGGGGTGATATTACTCCACTACTAGGATTTTACCTCTACTGCCACTCTTTGTTAACACCCTGGGACAGTATTTTCCATATTCTAGGAGGATGTCACTACCAAAATCACAGGGGGTGTATACCCTGCTATATTATTCATAATATTGTAGGGGAATGTTCATCCTGATGTCACAGGACTGTACACACTGTGATATTATTCACAATACCCTAGTGGGACACTAATAATAATGTCACAGTGTGTGTACACCTTGTGGTATTATTCGTAATATCCTAAGGGGAGGTTACCTTTATTGTCCCACGCGGTGTGTTCCCTTTGATATTATTTGTAATGTCCTAGAGGGATGTTACTCCTTGTGTCACAGGGTTTGTCCACCTTATCAAATTACTTGTATTAACCTTATAAGATGTTACTCCCTATATCACAGGGGGTGTACACTCTGTGATATTATCTTAATATTCTAGGGAAATGTTACTTTTAATGTTGCAGAGGGTGTATACCTTGTGAAATTATTCGTTATAGTTTTGTGGGATGTTACCCCTAATGTCACACGGGGTGTACACACAGTGTAATATTCTATGGAAATCTTACTCGTAAATCACAGGTCCTGTACACCCTTTAATATTCTTCATAATATTCTAGGAAAACGTTACTGTGAATGTCACAGGGCATATACACCCTGTCACAAAATTCGTAATATCCTAGGGGGAGTTCACTAGTAATTTCACAATGCATGTACGCCCTTTGATATTATTCGTATTATCCGAAAGAGATATTACTACTGCTGTCCCAATGCATGTACATTCTCTGATATTATACGTTATATCCTCGGGGGATGTTACTTCTAATGTCACACGGGGTGTACTCCCTGTGTTATTTGTCATAATATCCTAGGGGAATTTTACTTTTAATGACACACGGGGTGTACACATTGTGATACTATTCGTAGTATTCTAGAAAGATATTACTCCTCAGGTCACAGGGGATGTACACCCTGTGATATTATTCGTACTATCCTAGGGGACGTTACTCCAAATGTCGCAGAAGGTGTAAACGCTGTGATATTACTGGAAATGTGTCAGGGAAAGGTACTCGTAATGTCTAAGGGCATGTACATCATGTGTGCACAGCCCCTGTGATGTTCCTTGTGATATTCTCGAGGGATGTTAATCCAAATATTACATATGCTGTTAACTATGTGTGAACACCTTTGTGGTATTATTCCTAATATACTAAAAGGATGTAACTCCTAACATCACATGGGGTATATGCCATGTATGTACACATTTTGCGATATTATTCATAATATCTTAGGGAGATGCTCGTAATTTTACAATTATTCACGTAATACTTTAGCGGGATGATACTCCTAAAGTCACAGGAGGTGTAAACCCTGCGATATTATTCAGAATATTCCAGGGGGATGTTACTCCTAATGTCACAGGTGTGTATACCCTGTGATATTATTCACACTTTACTCGTGCGATATTACTACTAATGTCACAATGTGTGTACACCTTCTGATATTATTCGTAATATCCTGGGAGGATGTTACTCCTAACGTCACAAGGGTGTACACACTGTGTTATTATTAGTAATATTCCTGGGGGATTTTAATTTTAAAATCACATGGGGTGTCAACCCTGTGATCTCATTCGTAATATCCAAGGAAGATGTTACTCCTAATGTCACATGGGGTCTACACCCTGGGATATTATTGGGAATATCTTAAAATGATGTTATCTTAATGTCAGAGGGTGTGTACACCTATTGATACTATTTGTAATATCCTAAGGAGATATTACTTTAAAAATCACAGTGGATGTACATCATGTGTGTAGACCCTGTAATATTATTCACAATATCCCAGGGAGGTATAACTTTTAATATCACAGCAGATGTTCTCTATGTGTGTACACCCTGTGGTACTGTTCATAATAGGCTATTCAGCAAGGCTCCCGCGCCCACCTTCCAGCCCCAGAGGCCGGCGCGGAAGGGCAGCACCAAGGACAGTGGCCACCTGCGGATACCCAAGTGGCCTTACAAGGTGGCCACGGAGGAGAAACCGGAGGCTGAGGAGGCCGAGAAGAAGCGCCAGGCCAAGGTGCAGGAGAAGCACCCGGCGCCGTGGAAGAAGAGGACGTGAGAATCCGCAGGTTCTTGACACGGGGTTCGAGGGCAGGGTGAGGCCGCGGGGCTGAGCACCATGGCCGCTACCGGGACCACCAGGCCGTGCGCGTTTCCACGCTGTCTTTCTAGGATGCTCCCAGGAAGGGGCTGGGGGAGCCACATCGATTCGCCTGACACCAGCCACCCTAGCAATCAGTACACCTAGCGGGCATGTTGCCTAAAAGGCTCCCTTTAGAGAACCTCAATTAAGATGTTTTTAAAGATCAATTTATTAGGCCGGGCGCGGTGGCTCACGCCTGTGATCCCGGCACTTTGGGAGGCCGAGGCGGGCGGATCACCTGAGGTTGGGAGTCTGAGAGTAGCTTGACCAACATGGAGAAACCCCGTCTCTACTAAAAATACAAAATTAGCCGAGCATGGTGGCACATGCCTGTAATCCCATCTACTCAGGAGGCTGAGGCAGGAGAATCGCTGGAACCCAGGAGGCAGAGGTGGCAGGGAGCCAAGATCGCGCCATCGCACTCCGGCCTGGGCAACAAGAGCCAAACTCCGTCTCAATCAAAAAAACCTCAATTTATTAAAGGGTATTTTCTGTGTGATTTTGTATTTTTAATTGTTATCCAATTTGCCAAGTTTTACAAGTGATAGGGCCCCTTGTATCCAAGGCAGTTTTAATACACTTGCCTGAAGACCTTGTATTTAAAATACTGTTTCTAGCAATAAATGTGTATGATATCTTTAGGAGTTTACACAGAAATCATGGGATTCTCTCCTTTTTGGCTGTTTGTTTTGGTCTTTTCTTCTCATTGTGGGTGCACATGCACACTGGATGTTTTTATTAATTAGATTAAGTGATGCCGGATATTTCTGTTTGATGGAGGGATTGACTCATTCAGCCACATGATCAAGTGAGAAAGAGATATCATATTTTATTATATCTTTTTAAAAAGTATTATCCATACACTCATATATTGGGGAAAAACAGTTATCATCAAATTATAAAACAATGCCGAGATAAGCATGCATGTATTGCTAGAATTAAACTCTTTTTATTCAAGGAGTTTTAGATAAACTGGATAGACTTTAATATCCAGATAGACCATCTTTAACATATTAAAAATAGATATGAGGGAAAAGTGTCATTTGATAAAATGGGAGAAAAGTAATAGATGATTATCAGAAATACAAATTAAGCCATATATGCTCTTAAGTTAATCGAATCCAGACATCCTTCAAATGTAAAAAAAGGATGCAACAAGAGTAAGGAGCCCAGAATGATGCAAGTTAAAGGAATAGGGGGGAGGTGATGTTTAGAACAAGCAAAGAGAATGCAGTGGGAAGCAAACTTATTTTAGGCAAATTCTCCTGGAGTGGACCAGACAGCCCTCTCTTGCAGACTCAGTTCCAAAGAGTCCCTTATGTGGGTATTTCTTTTATTTTTCCTTTGAGGACTGCACTTGATGTTTAGTTCAACCTCATGCGGACCTCATGGAATTTCCAAGACGTGGGGCCTTGGCATTGTGGCACCTTCCTGCCACGTGTACATAATTCACAGCATTACCAAGTCACCACGAGCTCCACGCTCACCTCTGTCAGCCCAGGACCCAGCCAGACAGTGTCACATGGTCTCCCAGGCATGCCTTTCCAAGCCGGCTATCCCTGCTGCGAAAGTTCTGAAGGCACTGGTCTGGGGAGCTGAGCCCTGGGCTTGTCCTAAAGCTCCATAGGTGACTGCACTGCAGCCCACATGGAGAGCTGCAGCTCTAACACAGGGATTTTGAGAGGCCTCAGTCGCCTTTAAGAGGCACTTCCAGGACACCCATCCTGAGCTCTCACAAATGGCTCCACCTTCCCAAGAATGTCTAATTGGCATTGGAACAGCCAGTGTCTGGCAGCTTCGCTCGGGCTGATGTGGCATCTGACCCTTGGTGGGTTACTAGACATTCCTTCCTGTTTCCACCATGGGAAGTTGACAACTGGGAATGGTATGGAGCACCCACTTCTACACTAAGCCTTGGGTGTCTGCTGCTTCCAGGTCAAAAATGGATATTTCTGGTCCTGACCAGCCACTACCACACTGTAACCGATGCTCATAGTCTCCAGGGATGTGTAGAACAGCAATGGTAGGACAGAAAACAACTGGCAATTTCCCCAGGTCCCACGCTGTTCCAGAGTGGGCATGTTGGGTCCCTGTTCCCAATGTGTTTCAGCCTTACCCAGGTGCACAGGGTACCATGGGGCCAGCACAGGGCTTGTCAAGTAATGCTCCTGGTGTCCACAAAACAGCTCCAGAGATACCTGCATTTTGAAAAGCCTGCCAAGCCAACAAGTATGGGTCAAGACCCAGATTGCTTTGGCAAATCTGAAGGTGAGCTGGCCACTTGCCTGGTGAGTAGAAGCTGCCTTTACCTGGCCAGTGTATGCAGCTTGAGAGAAAATGACAACTTCACGGGGGGGTTCTGGTGGGACTGGGAAGCCTGACCTCCCCCGGAGCTTTGGTATGGCCCCAGTGGAAAGACTGGATTTTGAAAACCCACCAGACCCAACTGAAAGAAGGGTCATCCCTGATGGGATCCTGGACTCTCCCTGGTCTCTCTGGAGTCACTCTAGATGTGGCTTGCCTGTGGGCAACCCTTCCCTTTGGCCCATGAGGCAGGTCCAGGTAGCTTCTGCAGCGGTGTGCCTGGCTACTGGCCCAGCACTTCTCATTTTTGCCATGTGGAATCAGATTTGCTAGTAGAGGAATTTTCCAAGTCAAAGGAAGTGTCACCAAACCTCTTTCCTTGACCTATGGTGAGCCCAGGCTCTTGGTTTCTTATTCTCTTTGGAGTGGGCAGCAGAGGGGACAAGCAGACCTCCAGCCAGGCTCAGGGAGTGTGGGAGGACAGGGAGAAAAGTCTAGATGATGGGGAACTGGAGCCACCTTGAGGGGGGTGTCCTGGGGTCAGTGTCGGGGTGATCAGATGAGCCAGTTTATATTTAAGCAACATTATTATGTTCAATTATTTTGGGTAACGGATTCCTCGGGGGAGGTGTGGTCATCTGGTCCCAGAGGTGGAGTGAAATGCCCACTCATCTTCCTGAGCCATTTGGAAGCCCTTTCTTCTAGCCCTAGGTACTGGTGACACAGGCTCCTCGGTCTCAGGAGGTGCACAGTGCTGGCGGGGTGGGGGGGATGCAGGCTTCTTGTCACTTACCCACTCAGCACTATTGGGCATCAGGCATTCACAGGTCTCACAGTGGCCTCTCTAAAAACCTGGTGTCCTAGGATAACATTTATTATTTTTGTCTATTTTTGTTTCTTTGAACTTCTGCATTCACTCACTGAGGGCTCGCCCTCCCTGCACCCCTCATGTTGTTCAGGAAGGAGGGGACTGATGAGCATGGACCCCCTTCTCCTCTTCTGTCAGTTGCCACCACACCTTCCCCACTGGCTTTATTACCACTTTCTCCCACCCCTGTTGCCTCATCTCCTCCTCCTCATTTACCCTTCCTTCCTTTGCCTGTTTTCTTCTCCCAGTTGGTTAAGTTCTTTATCATCCCTGGCACCACCTACCCTGAGTTCTACCAAGAACAGAAAAGCAGGGGCCTCTGTGAGGCAATGTGGTGTTATCATGGTGGGACCTCCATGACCCCAGAGTGAGTGATCAGCAGGCCTGCCAGCATCCATGCTAATGGCTAAGAATTCCTACACCACCGTGCCCCTCCCACCCCCTCCTCTTTGCTCAGAAGGGAGACCAGGTTTGCTCTCTTACAATGACAGCCCAGCCCCTGCTGTGCACAGGGATGGGGCTCAGGGTCCCTCCCTGCACCCTGATGTTAATTAACTGTAAATAGTGAATTTCAAGTTGACAGCTACCTTCTCAGGGTTTTATATATAAATATAGTTAAAGGAAAAGCTCAAGACTATTTTACTACTTTTTAGTGTTTGTGAAAATTAAGCTTAAACTGGACAGAATAAATATTTCTCAGACAATGGCGATGCTACTGATTACAAGTGAGATAGGTGGAGCTCGCCCCTTGGGGAGAATTTTTTAGGGGGTTGGAGATTGGGGACTCTGGCAGCAGAAATGGCTTTGTGGTGGGTGTGAAGTCACTTCTGTCCCTCGGAGTGCCTATGGTGGGTGTGAAGTCACTTCTGTCCCTCGGAGAGCCTCTTGCGGATGTGAAAGCATGTATCAACACCAGTGAAATCCACCTCCATGTGCATGGTGGCGGCTGATGAGAACACAAATAAGCCAGTCCTGGCACTTCCCTCCAGAACCGGTCACTCCTGGTCTGACATTGGAGCATGTGAATTAAGAGTGACAATTTTTTCTACTTGCTTCTGCGAATAAAGTATTCTACAGTCAGCCAGCACTAAACTCACTAGAAAGGAGGAGGGAAGAGCGTGGAGTCAATCATCTAGAATTACCTCAGTGTGCAGAGGCTGTCCCTTGGCTGCACTTGGGAAAAGCAGTGTGAAACATCCTGTGCCTCTTTCTTCTGGAGCTCCTCCTGACAGTCTCCTGGCAAAACTAGAGGCCTCAAGGCTATGGAGATCAGAATTTCAATAGCTTTGTCATCTCAGCATTGACCACTCCTGAGACCTGAGACTCCTCCTGGGAGCAGGAGACAGGGAGTTCGTGATGTTCGTTGGAAAGTAGGATTTATGAATGCAGGAGGGCCGCGCTGGACTCCTCTGTCTGCTTCTCTCCCTGCTGTCAGCACTGACCAGGTCTCCGGTGTGGAGGCGAGTCTGTTGTGGGTGAAACAGAAGCCCCTGGGGTAAGGCCAGACCCCAGGCCTGAAAAGGATGCAAAGCCTGCTGTTTCAGGCTGTCAGGAAGAATCGTGGTTACAAAGTGAATATGATGAAATGCATCCCAGAGAGGAAATGAATGTGCCGTCACTAAGAAGTGGGTCTGGCTGCCAGGTCTCTGGCAGTCCACCGGCAAGAGCACTACATCCCCTGCAGCCCTGCCATCCACACTACATGATGTGGGGAGGCTGTCTCTTCACTCTTACCCTGGGGACCCAAACCTGCTTTGAGGAGTGAGTCACAGCCCTGATGTGTGCCTTGCATTACTCTTTCCCCAGGTGTGCCTGGAGACTCAAGCTTGCTCATTTCTGTCCTGACACATCTCGCTGGTCCTGTGGTGGTCAGAGTCCTCCTGTTCTGTGTCAGCTCCTAGATATCATTAGTCTTTCACGTGATAAAGTATGAGCACTTTTCTCTTTTACAGTATTTGGGGAAATTCTAACACACTCCCCAGGGATTTGCACAGGTCCCTCTGGCTCCCATGGTGGGTAATTGTATGGATTCTGCACCTGGCAGTCAGCACTCCCCCTTGGAAGCCCCTGGGGTCCCTGTTTCTGTGGGCCTGGTCCTTGGTTTCTACCCCAGTACCTTTTTGCTGGAACCTGCCTAGAACTGCCTGGAGGGCCATGGTCTAGGGAACAACAGGTGGAACCCTGACCACAACAGATCCTTCTGAAACAACAAAGTCACCTTGATGACGATGACTGCAATGGGGTGAATGCCATCGCAGCGGGCATGCTGGGAGCCACCAAGGGCTTCCCGCAAAAGAAGTTCTTCCCAAGGCACCCTTTGCATCTTCCCCTCCTCACCTCTCAGTGCATTTGGAACTTGCTTATGCGTTGGAATGACTTAAATCAACTCCTCGTTTCAGTGCCCCTGCACTCACATGTTCCTTCATTAACATTTTAAATAAGTGGCTAAAAAAACTCCTCTGGAGGTTGTTTTTGAAAGCAGGAAAAAGAAAAACACAAGCTACCTGAAATGATTTTACTAATTTTTGAGTGACTCAGTTGAAAGTCAGTGTTGCATACACAATTTCCTCATGCTGAGCCAGCTTGAAATAAGACTTGATAAGAGGCACGGCCCTCAGTAGCAGGTGGTGCCACTGTGGACAGTGTAGACTGTAGTGTGAGGGTATGCGCAGGTGAGTGTAAGTGTGTTTACTCATACACACGGATAAACTGAAAGGACACCGGGCTTCGTGCTGGCAAAGTTATGATGCTGCTGTAGCTTGTTATGGGCCCCGGGCAGTGTCAGATGGGAAATGCTTTGGTGGCATGTTGTTCAATATATATAATGGAGTGTCCCATGGCCCAAGGACCCACTATGAGCACACCACCCACAGTGGTGGAGAACACGGCTGGAGTCATCACAGCCCAGGTCTTTATTGAAAGGCAGTGTTGACCCAGAAGGCTCGCGTAGAACCCATTTGGCCAGGTGTTGTCCATCTCTCTCCATCTGACCTGCCTTGGCTGCACAGAGGGACCCAGACCCAAAAGGCCCAGACTCAAGAGGAAACCGAATGACGTTTACCATTGCACCAGCTTTCATTTATTTTTTTCCATATGATCATAAGAACTGTATTACTAAGTATGTTTATAAATGCTATTTACAGTCTGTTCCCTTTTATTAGATGAAAGATTAATAAAGAACAAAAAATTGGCTGTAGTAAACCATGCATGAGGCCAAGAGTGGTGGCTCATGCCTGTAATCCCAGCACTTTGGGAGGCCACGACAGGCAGATCACCTGAGGTCACGAGTTCAAGACCAGCCTGGACAACATGGAGAAACCCCAGCTCTACAAAATACAAAAATAAAAATAAAAATAAAAATAAAATAATTAGCTGGGAATGATGGTGGGTGCCTGTTATTCCAGCTACTTGGGTGGCTGAGACAGGAGAATTGCTTGAACCTGGGAGGTGGAGGTTGCAATGAACCGAGATTGTACCATTGCCCTCTAGCGTTGATGAAAGAGAGAGAGAGGGAGGGAGAGCAAGAGAGAGAGAGAGAGGGAGGAGAGAGGGTGTGCATAGAGGGAGAGAGAGAGAGAAAGAAAGAAAGACAGAAAGCAAGCAAGCAAACAAGCCAGCCAGCCAGCCATGCCTGAAGGGCAGTGTGTGGTCATCACTTCAACAGGTTGACACTCACCTGGAAGTCATGAAATCTGTCCATTAGTCCAGTGATGGGTTGAGCACTGAGCTCTGAGCTCACACACTGGGGCATGTGCCGCTGCTCTGACTCACTCCTTTAAAGAGGAAAATACAATTCAGCTTTCTAATACCAAATATTTCATCACAGGATTGAAAAACAAATAATCATTCAAGGGAAATTCATCTTTGGAACCCTTTCCTGATGTAGCAGTCCCAAATCATAGGGATTACGAACTTGAGCCACTGAGCCTAGACTGACTGATGTATCCTACCAATAAGCTATATACATAAACTCATGTCTTCCCACTTCTCAGAACCATGAAATCAATCATTCCTCCCTTTCTTTCATTTATTTTTATTGTTTCCTAACAATACTAGAAGCCAAATTCATTCTTTTCTTAAACCACTTTTATTCATTAAATGACTTCCTAAAACACACGAAGAAAGGTTATGATTCATCATTTCTTCAATATACACCCTTTGATGTCGGACAACCTACCTGAGAGTCATTGGAATTTATGGTGATTCACAGATAATTTTTTGCAGTATTAAGTTTTTAAATTAGTCTTTAGTACTAAACCTCCCTACTCCATAGCCTGACCACTCTCTCTGAGCAGTAGTCAATGCTGCATTGTACCCTCAGGATTGGAAGCCATGAGAAAAAACCTTCCTCAAATCCTAACCAAGATGATTTCCACTCAAGTGGTAAGTGGATACATTTGTAGCATGTCTGTCTGAGGCTGAATCCGAGAGAAAAAGCCTAATACTTACAATCCACTGGTTGGTTTTCCTGCTCTCCTCATTTAGCTTTCTTTGGTTTTCTTGAATTTTTTCCCAAAAAGATCTCATTTGCTTCATTATCGTCTCCTATAAAAGAACTATGAATTTGAACATCAGAGAAACAAATGGCTTTGGGTGTCAGACACCCACTGATAAAGAAATCAAGAGATGAGATATGAAAGAGATTTGGGAAGATCTCAGACTGTAGAACCACAACATGGAATGCAACCAGTACAATAAGAAAATCATAAGCAGGGCTAATTTACAGATAATGTGGCATCTTGCATCAGAATTGGAATCTACTGACACCAAACCTTGCTAATTCTAGCATATTTTATTCTATTATTTCCAGTGTTGGTAAATAGGTTTCTTATATAGAAGGCTTTTGAACTTGTAGTTTAGATAGCCAGAAACTCTCTCTGATATTGAGCTCTTTACGTGCCTTGAACATTAAGCTAAGTAGTCAAATTATTATAATGATTATTAACTTCCATCACTCCCTCAGTGAAATGCAAGTTCCAGGAAGGAAGGTATTCTCACAGATTCCATTTAAATTTCTATCATTGATACCTAGGCACTACATGATATCCAGTACAGAACAGAATAATCCTCATGCTCTTCATCTTCCCCCTAATCTCTTTACCTGTGCCATCCTCCAGCTTTCAAAGTGCTCTGAGAGCCATCACTTACCCAGTGTTCCTTAGTTGCCCCTCACAGTGTCTGGGAGCCCAGTGTTCCCGAGTGTTCCAGAACAGCAAATGAAGCAGGCTCTTATCCACCGCTCCAATATCTTTTTTTCTCCCTGTGGATCCCACACATTTGTTCATTAGAGCTCAGGAATTGCCAGAGACTGGCTTTTATGGCAATGAACACTGGAATCTCCAGAAGAATATTAGTTTTGACGTCCTCCTGCTGTGACAGTTCCCCGCATGTGGGCAGCCGGTAGGAATTTTGGCTTCTTCCCAGGAAAGGCAGAGACAGGAAAGGCCTACAGAAGCTGGGGCCGCAGCCTGTGGTGATGGGGTCTATGAGTTAGTTCAGACAGAAGAGGCAGATGGGTTCTTTCTGGAAGGCTTGTGTGATGTCTGAGACCATTTTCCTGAAGGAAGGAAATTAGGAAACATATGATTAAAACTTCATCTTATGCCTTGGAGAAACAAAGACCAAAGCAAAATTTGACTCAGGTTGTGACTCAGTGATAAACTTCTGTCCAGAGTAGAACAGGCTTTATTTTGTATAAGACAAAAATAGAACCTAAGGCACAAAGAGAGCTCTTGGATCTGTAGGTAAAATTGTTGGGTTCATGCACAACTCACAGGGCACTACATCTTCTTCCTACCATTTTCTTTTGCATAGAAAAATGAACCTCAGAGAGGCCATATGTGATGGCTCACACCTGTAATCCCAGCACTTTGGGATGCCAGGGCTGGTAGATCTGGCTGGAGGCCAGCCTGGCCAATATGGGGAACCCTGTCTCTACTAAAAACACAAAAGTCAGCCAGGAGTGGTGGCACATACCTGTAATCCAAGAAACTTAGGAGACTGGGCAGGAGAATTGCGTGAACCCTGAAGTTGCGGTCAGCTGAGATTGAGCCACTGCTCTTCAGCCTGGGCAAGAAAGCAAGAAGAAAGGAAGAATGAAAGAGTGAGAGAACGAGAGAGAGAGAGAGAAAGAGAGAGAAATAAGGAGGAAGGAAACAAAGAAAAGAAAAGAAAAGAAAAGAAGAGAAAAGCAAAGAAAAGAAACCTCAGTTTTTTTGAGTTTTGATTTTACTCCAAAAACTTCAGGTTTCAGAGTATGAGATTAGGACCAATTTATACCATTAGATGATGGGTCCTGAATGCTCTGTAAACCATTCTTAATGCTCATTGTGATTGGATTAGAAAAGATTGATTCCGTAAAAAGAAAAAACGTGATTGTTTGAGGAAATGGTATTTAACTGCAATTTTACTCTCATTGTTTCATTTAGATGTCATAATTTTCTCCTTTAAAGTATTTTGAAAATTCTCAATCACAATCCACCACTGCAAAATGATTTCTAAATAACCATTATTTATTTACTGAACATTGTGAGATTTGATCAGTTTTCACCCAGAAATGCTGAAGAGACATTTAGTATACTCTAAAACAATATTATCCTCAAATTATTCAACATATTACCTAAGTTGTATATTATAGAATATTCTGTCTTGTGCATATATTTATGTGCCAACTTTAGAACAGAGGGTATTACATTTATGTACAACATATAAAATAAAATATTCTCAATAAAATTTAGGATATACAACAAGTATGAAATTGCAAGATATCTGAAAACTATTTTCTGTGTTCTTAGAATACATAGGAACAAGTAAGGAATACATAAATGATACAAGTAAAATTAATCTTCACTGTGTTTCACAAGTATGTAGGAAGACAGGATGACAAAATCAGAGTAAAAACGTTTTTACTAAGTAAGCAAATGACATCACTTATAGAAACAAGTTCAGTTTATTGAAAAATTAAACATAGTGCAGTCTGTTTTGGATTGGAAAAGTAGCAGGAACTCCTCCTCTGTTAGTTGTGTTCTCACCCAGAAATATACTTATGGTCTCACTGAATCTTGCTGTAGAAGTAGTACTATAAAGTCTGGTCAGGGATCAGGGCCTCATCATATAGTGGTAGTAGCTTTCAGACATCTTCACAGCCAGTTCAAAAGCCACTCTGTGTGTCCCAGAAAAGAATGAGCTTGGCTACTTGTACCTCTTTATATTGAATCTCTGAAAAATCACACCCATTTCAAACAGGTTGTCCATTTCTTGGAGTTTGGGATAGCCATTAGGGTTTTTGATTAGGTTTCACCAGAAGAGAGGAAATGATGGATTCAACACCTTGGCTAATCTCCCTAAACAAACTTTAAACTTCCTTTTATCAAGAACCACTGAGTTTACAACAAATGAACCCTCAAATACCAAACTTGTAGATAATTTTTGGAGTTCTTTAATATTTTACTCATCAAAAGATGAGAAAGAGGATACCATCAATTTATGATTTTAAGAAATGTCTTCAAAAGTCTGGAATAGTTTTTCTCCCTTTTCTTTTTGCTTTATTTTTTTCTGTTTTTGGAAATGTTTTGCCTGAAGTTGGCTTTAATTCTAATAGTCACTGAACTAGACTGGAAATGCACTCTGCTGTTGCCTTTGAAGCTTGATTTCAGGTTTTAATGTATTACTGTCAATTTATATATATATAATATCTTTTATATATTATATTTTTATACATATATAATATATTATATATATTATATATTATATGTATTTTATATATATTATGTGTATATACACACACACACACACATATATATTTATATATATATTCTGGTTCTGTAGCCTAGGCTGGAGTGTGGTGGTGCAATCACAGCTCACAGCAGCCTTAAACTGCTAGGCTCAAGTGATTCTTTAGCCTCATTTTCTCACAGAGCCAAAATTACAGACATGAGCCACTGCACCCAGCCTATTAATTTATGTTGTCAATAAAAGCATAAGAATTATCTTTATTACAAATTAAGAAACAGAATATCTTTAAGGAAATATTATATCTTTTAGGAAAAATAAAATCTTCAGTAGTTATAGACTGCTATGAAAACTGCTGTTACCAATAGCAATTTTGTGTACGTCTATATGACAGATACACATGTAAATATATATAATACATACATGAATTTTTTCACATTTGGCAATCATTTAAGAAATTCTTTTATCATATAAATTCTAATTTATATTGGTAAAAGTGAAATAAGTAAAATTTGCTGTTTAGTGAAAACTGTTTAGCAAGTGAAATGAAGCTGCAGAAAGTGTGAATTGGATAATAGATATAAAGATATGTCATGAAGGCTTCACAGATGGACAAACAGAGGTAAACTAGGAGAGTGATAGTGACATAAGGAGGATGAGAGTATCATGTATGTCCTTTATAAACAGCATAATGTGTGATTGACTGTAGCACACAGTAGAGCTAAGTAGAGAAGATGAGGAGAGTACATATTCAAGGGTATAATGTTTGATAATTTTTTCAGAGTAAGCAAATGAATGGAATTCAGGAAGCCAAACAATCCCCATTTTGGATGTATAAAACATAAATTTACTTTGTTTTGAATGTGTAAAACAATATATTTTGGCTGATATTTAGTATTTCTCTGTCTTTGTTGGCTGATTCATTATAATGTGTTTAAGCTTGAAACCACCACCAAAGATGAAGAATCTCTTAAAAGCAGCCAGAATAAACTGTTTCATTTTGAGGGAACACTTAATAGAATGACAACAGACTTCTACATAATCATAAATGTAAGTATAAGACAGTGGACTAATATTTGTAAAGTGTCAAAAAATGTGACTGGCAATACAGAGATGAATATGGATTGGAAATATCTTTTACATAAGAGGATAAAAGGAAGATCTTGTCACATAAATATAATAAAAAAAAGAGGCTTTATACCCTACTAAGGACTTCTAGAACAGTACCCATGAGATCTACTTGAAAGATAATTCTAACACCTCTGCCACATTTGAATCTGGCTTTATTAATTACTTTTTCTCTTAACACTGTGTCCTTTATGTATCTTTTCTGTTTCTGTATATGTCTGGTAAGTTTTACTCAAAAAGTGAACTATGTAGAGTAGACTAATATAGAAAGCAAAACCGGCATGTGTTCCCTTTTTCTAGCCTGTATGTGTGTGTTTTGAGGGAGAAGGTTGAATCAATCTAGTCAGGAGTTGATTTGGTTTTGAGACTTGTTCTTCTTAGAGTTGATTCCAGTGCACCATAGGTTTCCTGCTTATCTAGCATTACTTTGTTTTTCGGATTGGACTGGTTCAGCAGCTTTCCTCAGTATCTGCTGTATCCTCAACTTTAAGTTTCCCTCCAAATTCCGCTCAGTCCCCCAGAACGCACTGCTTTGACCTGTTACTCAACAATTTTTTGCCTAGTTGGGGTGGTGATGAGGATGGAGATGCATTCTCTGAGATTCTGATGAAGCTCAGTCACAGGTTGACACTGTTTCTGGGTCTTCATGGTTGGAACCTTCTTAATGATCCTGTCCAACCTTCAGATGTAGGTCTAAATCCTCCACATATTTTTTTCCTCTTTTTTCTTTTCCCCTTTCCAAAGTTCAATTAGTTTTACCAGCATCTCAAGGGCGATGGCATTCCATATATTTCCCTTTGTACTTTTAGGTTTTGTTACACAGGGGAGACGGGGAGGTAAATACAGGTCTTAAAATGTGATATTCTCTGAATCTCTTCACAGACTGTAAAACAAATGTATGTGGCACATATACACCGTGGAATACTATGTAGCCATAAAAAGGATGAGTTCATGTCCTTTGTAGGGACATGGATGAAGCTGCAAACCATCATTCTCAGCAAACTAACATAACAACAGAAAACCAAACACCGTATGTTCTCACTCATAAGTGGGAGTTGAACAATGAGAACACATGTACACAGGGAGGAGAACACCACACACTGGGGCCTGTCTGGGGTGGGGGTCCAGGGGAGGGATATCACTGGGATAACTACCTAATGTAGATGACGGGTTGATGGGTGCAGTAAACCACCATGGTGTATGTATACCTATGTAACAAACCTGAACGTTCTGCACATGTACCCCAGAACTTAAAGTATGATAATAAAAAAAGGTTTATGTCTTAATGTTGATGTTAAATTATCATAAAGTATATACATATGCATTTGAAAAATTAGGCAAAACAACAAATTCATTTATTTCAAACTTCTTATTTTATACATGAAAATACCATGTATATATATGTGTGTGTGTGTGTATATATATATATATATATATATATATATATATATATATATATATATAATTCTCTTCTGCATGAAAAATGCTTATAGTTTCTCTCATTGATTTCAATGCTTCCTGTATCTTATCCTGGTTAATTTTCAAGTTTCCTAACCATTACCTTCCAAAACATTATTCAATATTCTAACTTCTAGCATGAGTTAATGGAGTTCACAATTTATCTAAATAAAACACTGTAATATAACATTTGTGTGTTTCAATTCTTTTCTTAAACTTCTCTTTGAGATTCATTAATTTGTTGCATTTCGGTGTTATCTCTGTTTTGTAAAATTATTTTGTACAATGAGATCACAATTTATTTAGCAATTCTACTGTTGATGAATATTTATTTTGTCTCCAATTTGGAGCTACTATAAAAATTGCTGCAACGATCAACATTGTGTTTATCTTGAAATACACATAGGCAGGCTGTGGAATATATTTTAGAATGAGAATATGTAGCCCATAAGGAATGCTCATAGTCAGTTTGCCAAAAAGTATTTCAGTTTGTATCCCTCCAGCCATGAATAAGTTTCATCATTGATTCTTTATCTTTCACAACACACAATATTATGTGTTTTTACATTTTGCTACTTTTTATGGAGGCCTGTGGTTCAACTTATGGATTAATTTTTATTATTCTGAGGACTAATACAAGTAATCCCTTTTTCATATTTGTCCAGATATTTATGCCTCCAATTTTATGAAGTGCCTGTTCAAATATTTTCCCAATTTTATATTGGTTTCATTTTCTTTTATTTATTACCTTCATTAATCACATGTATTATATTTTATTGCATATATGTTGGGATAAATATTTTTCTCCACTCTTGGTTTGCATTTTAATTCTTGGATGGTATATTTTGAAACACAGAAGTCATCATTTTTGATATAAAGTAACTACATTTTTCTTCTTAATTGTTCCTTTTTTGTCCTGGTTAGGAAATCTTTCTGTGTGAGAATATTTTATTGTGTTCCCTTCACCTTCAGAACATGAATCCATGTGGAAATGCACTGTGTATGGTTTGAGGTAGGGGTCAGTATTCAGTTTTGTCCATTTGAATATTAAATTGATCCAGCATTGTCCTGATCCCCTTGTAAATTTCACTGTAGGACATCACTCTGATCATGCACGAGTATTTTGAATATAAGATGAGATTTACAAAGATAAGCACAGCATAAGAGGTCAAATAAGATTACCTCAAAGGATAGTTTCATAAATAAAACACATCAAGAAGTATAATATTGTTAGATGAAGAGAAAGAAAATATTTCCAGGTTACCACTGAGTCTTTTTACTCCAAATTTTTCATGAATCCCAAGATCTCTACTTTCTTCCATTGATTTTAACTTCATTTAGACAACTCTTTCCTCTATTATTTTACTTTGTGACATTCAGAAATAATTAAAAACCAGAGAATATATTCTATGCCATAAATCATGGGTGATGATTTTCCAAAAATGATTTAAAAAGGAACCAATACACATGGTTGCAGTGTTTTCACCATATTTAATAGAAACACTATAAATGAGTTTTGATGACATTAGAATGCAACTAAAGACATTAAATATAACTTATTTATCCTGTTTGATGAGGTGCGAAAAAAAGGCTTTCTTAGCTAAACAGGTTCCCAGAGCATATAGACCCATTTCTGACTTTTCTCTGGTCAGAAGTGACTACAGCAAAAGATAGGCCTGAGAGGAGGTGAGAAGGAGCAATTAGGGATGATGTATATCAGGAAACTTTGATCAACATCAACAAAGCTCATGATTCTACCTTCACAATCCAGGAATAATCCTACTGTGCTGGTAGGTTTTGGAACATATTGCACCACAAGTGGGGTGGTGGTAAAGAGACTGCAGTGAGTGTCCTCCTTAACACATCCAAGAAGAAAGAGTCCCTCCTCTCCATCTATCTTGTCATTCTGTCTCTTCTCTTTCCAATAATTGTTACAGACACCAAAAGCCCAATTCCAAGAATCCCCCACGTGCACCTCCCAATAATATTTGCCAGATGTGAAAGCCTGAGTCCCCCATACAAGAAAACATTCAGATTTTGCAGTGATATCGGGATCATCTTGAGGGTCACATCCAACATTCATGCTTCTCAAATCTCCATACAGGAAGATATGACTATTAGCTCTTTCAAGCCGCAGAGTAAAATCAACTGCAAAAATAATTTTTTAAAAATATAGATACATGTAATTAATAGAAATTAGAATTCTTGAGGGAAAAGTTGTTCTACCAAGAGTTTACTTTACCAAGAAATTGGAAGTTACAAGGACAGGAGAATTGTGGCTACAACATTTAATAAAGTATAAGGATGCTTATTATTCTCTATAGGAAGAACAAAACCCTAAAAACAGACATTGAAAACTTAAAAATTGAGAGTGGAATATAAGACCAGCCTGCTTTAATCCAATCTCCAATGTAACAGTGAAATACTTTATGCCCTGAATGCCCTTTAGCTATCAAGGTCATTATTATTAAAATATTTCTTGTTCTTAAATACTAGGGATATAATTTTGGCAAAAGGGGAAGATTTTAGCTTACTCAAGCACCACTCTAGATAACTGGATAAAAGTCCATATGTTCAAATTACAAGTGATAACTTAAGGCCGATTTATGCAAAATCTTTTACCAGTCACTTTGCGGACATCACTGCTAGCTCTAGACCGGTACCGAATTTTACATTTCACACGTAGCTCTTCGTGTTGTAACTAAACTGAAATTTCCATTTTTACTTCCTATTTACATAATAATTTCTTCTTTCTTTTTACCTGTTAAGTCAAAATTTTACATTACATCAATAATATATATTTATTGTAAGAAAGTACAAATACTCCAACAAACTGCAGTGAACTCTATCCCCCAATGAAATGTGTTTAACAATTCAAAGGAAATACAGTAAAGAAATGTAAAATTTTTATGTAGCCTTGGATTATTATGCTTCCTTCTGAGCATTGTTCCATTTATTCAATTTTTTATTTCTTATGTCATTCCATTTACCCAATATAAGTCTATCCATGTGAGCCCAGAACATATTTGTTTTTCACTATGTTTTACTCTTCAGGTTATAAATTGGACTATAAAAAGAAACAGATATAAAAGGATTGCATCATCATATGGTTCACTTCCTGCTGAAATGAAATAAAGATTTGATGAAGGGTAAAATATTACCCCCATGATTCTAACAAGAAGTAATACACTGTGGGAATTCTGCCGAC
The DNA here is from genome assembly GCF_000001405.40 of Homo sapiens. Lineage (NCBI taxonomy): Eukaryota > Metazoa > Chordata > Mammalia > Primates > Hominidae > Homo > Homo sapiens. The sequence continues at coordinate 49,834,697 of NC_000011.10, forward strand.
GGGCTGACACTTACCTCTGAATCCACTGAGCCTGTCCAGAAGTCCAGTGATGGGCCCTGCACTGAGCTCTGGATTCACAGGCTCAGACACTTGCAGCAGCAGGGACTCATACCTGCAAGGAGAAAGATACAGCTACCACATCTACAGCCAAAAAAAATACATAAAAATCACCATTTTCATTTAAAAGACATTTCATGAGAAGCCCTTTAACCCACACATTTGCTAATTCCAAAATTATCATTTTCTTTTTCAAATTCATTCTTATTCACAGTTCCTGATTTTCAAGCACGATGGTAAAGTCTCTCTGACTGAGAATTCATTCGGATCTTTCTTTGTATTGCTCCAAATTAGTAAGGATCATTAGTCTTAAGACTGGGAGAATATTCAAAAATGAAATTCTGGGTTCCAGACCTCACCAGAAATTCCTGAAATCACTGTCTGGAAAAGTGGGGTTATTTTTAAGACTGCTGCATCTGTTGCTTCCTTCTCAAGGCCAGGGTGTTGAAACGTGCTCCAGGCAGGGAGATCTGCCTTTTATAATTGAGGTTCTCTGGAGGCCCACATGATTCAAACATTCCGAATAGTTTGTTTCATCTATTTTTCAGAATTATATATTGAAATATAAACTAGAAATCATCAACAATTTTTGCTGCTAAAATACTTTCCCCTTTTCTCTCTGGCTTCCCCTGGTTGACTTTGTAGCCATGTAGTAAATGTGATATTTTCTCTTTCAAATATGAAGGCTTTTGAGCAATAAAAAGGAAACTAGGAATAGAGATGCTCACTTCCTTTATTTTCTTTCATTGATTTATTTTTTTTCTCTTTCTTATTTATTTATTTATTTATTTTTGGTTTTGCACAACTTTCATTGAGCTGCTTAATAAAATCACTGAGTATGGCAACAAAATAGATGACTACATGGGGTGGGGGATGGAGAAAGTACAACCAGCACAAGGTAGTATCAATATCTGAATCAATTTTACCTTCAATATCAAAGTTCCTGCTTGATATTTGTGGAAACTAAAAGCATCTGCAAAAATCTTGGTATGCACTCACCTTTGTAATATGTTTCCAAAAGACTGTAAAAAAAAAAAAATAGGCTTAGTGCTTTCCATAAGACGCACCTTCAACTAAGTTCATTGTGAGATACGGAGACAGTTTCTGAAGATATTATTTTCCTACAATGTTCCCTCCTGGAAAGCATTTTCTGTTTCTTTTCTCATGAAAATCCCAGTCTATCATATGTCACGAATTAATGTCCTGATAAAGTCTAAGTCTTGCAGACATTCTCTTTACAAGTGAAGGGAGAGGAGGCCCACAGAGTCCATGCTCTGCTGTAACCATAAAGAAGCTACTCAGTCATCTACCCTAAGCCCTGTTACCAAAATGAGTGGACCACAAAATAATATTAGTGTGATCCTAGATTCCCCAACTTCTCCATCATGCCATGTCTCCAAATTAGCCTAAATGCCAATGAATCACTTCTCATTTTATCCACGTTCAAAAATCCTAAATAAATCACTGACTTTTGATGGGAAATATTTCTTGGGGCTGTCTGTTACCTTGGCCATTCCGCAAAGTGTTGTTGCTGGTGGATAAAGTAAGAGGGACGTTCGGTCTGGTAGAATTACTAGGAGAGGCTATACCCTCCCAACCAAGTAGCTATTAGCTATCGAATCGTGTTTTTGGAAACAAATCATGGAAGTAAAGGGGGAGACGGATTTCAGGAGAGAGGAAAAACATCCATGCACGTGAATCTTCAACATCATGATACCCCACGGTCAGTCCGTACCTGGAGTAGCTCCACATCTGCTTTATGGCACATTTGCTTCAGATCCTCATACATTCCTCTTAAAAGCTCCCTGGAATGTTCCATTCTGGCTTTGCTTTCATTGAGTTGCTGAAAAATATCCTCGCCCTCCTTTCGCAGCCTCTCCAAGTGATGTTGCTCTTCTTCACGGAGAAATGCAAGCATCTTCTGATATTCAGCTCTGATTGCTTCTATCCTTAAACTCACATAATCCTGCAGTGACAATTAGTCAAAATAGAAATGTTTTATCCACCTTCTCTTGAATTTCACTGATTCCTCTTAGCATTCTGAACACCCAATATTTTAATCCTCAATCTTGTCAATTCTCAGATTCCACAAAATTTTATTCCTTTCCTTTTTTTCTGTACTAATATCACATAGTTGTTTCTGCCCAGTTACATTTACTTGATTAATGATAAAATGTTTTCTAAGATAGTTATATAAAAATGGATTTCTCTCTTCCACACCACATTTATAGAAAGAAAACACAGTTCTTGCTTAAGAATCAAACTATTAGTTATATTGACTAGGTAAGAAACCATTATTTCTATTTTGGAGAATTGGGGCAAGTTATGTAAAACCATTATATGACAAATGATGACATGACCCAGACTAGCATTGTCAACTCAATGCATTTCACCCAGCATCACATATTCTAATAAGGTTTCATTTATCCTCTTCCAAACTCACCCTAATCGGCAACATGGGCTTCTTGGTGGTTCCTCAAACCCCCAAATAAATGCAAATTAAATATTACTGCACATGCTGTTTTCTATGCCTAGAATTATTTTCATATATATATAAATACATGTTTCTCATATATGTACTCATATATATATTTCTCAAATATAGGTATATATGGATATATGAGGAATATATACGTGTATCTGTGTGTGTATATATATATTCCTCAAATATATCCATATATATGTATATATACCAACACCCAGGTACACATATATATTCATATATTTATGAGGAAGAGAAAGGCAAACAGGAGGATATATATATTTCCTCCTGATCAAGATTTTGTTTCAGTGTGAATTTTTCCATGAGCCTTTTTTCTAACCACCCTATTTAAAACTCAAACCCTCATCCCCAGTCCCTGGCCTCTGTGCTCCTTTTCTACTTTCCTGCTTGATTATTCTCCAAAGACACTACTACACTCTAACACATCATGTACTTCACATATCTGCATGGTGACCATTTGCTTTTCTCATTTCCATTGCAAGATTTGTGTGTTTTCTTTCTTCTTTACTCCTTAACTTTCTAAGTTGATATTTGACATAGACTAGGTACTCATAAAATATCTTTCAATGAATTAATATTAGAGTAAATTAATGAATTAATATTAGATATCATACCCTCAATATAAACATCCACAAAGAGAAAATCATTTCTAGAATTCTTCTCAAGTCCTTAGAGTTCTCCTTATATTAAATACTAGTTCCCATATTTCTCAGATATTTCTGTCTTCATCAAGACACAAGTCTACATTTCTTGCCACTTTTCCCATTATGTGTTATGACTTATTCAATTTTAATTAGTGCTGATATTTAATTTCATGCTTTCCCTAAGGTTGCACTCTTGCTCCTTCTGCCTAAAATTTAGCTCACATTTCAATATGCTTGCCCACCAGGATTCAAATTCATACTGACTCAGCCTTAGAAGGGTCACCTGAAATTTCCATGACTGACAAATAACTCTTGTGTCCAGAATTTATCCAGGCAGCCCATTGGGAAGCATGTGAAATGGCTCAGTTTCTTGTATTTGTTGGGGGTATTGCTATAGGTTTGTATGGAAACAGATGAGCATGCTTGGGTAACATCTGTGGTCTGATTAGAAATCCTACCAAAGAGTCACACTAACTTATATAAAAAATTAGGGTGTGTTTTTCTCAAGTGTTTTTTCCTTGTTTATTGAATTCCAGAAACATTGTGGGTTGAGATCAAGTTTCTATTTTAAGAGTCACCCATTTGTTCGCTATAAGTTCCCAGAAAAGGTGGAGTAATACGGTACTAAACTTCCAGCATCTGGTTCTGGTGGTTTCCATGTTCTGGTTTCTGAGATTTTCACAAGCTTTTTCCCATAAGCACTGCATTTTTTTTTAGGAGCTCCTCCTGCAAAACAGCCATGAACTGAAGCACAAGTGAGGACAATAAAGTATCATTCACACTCTGATATACGAAGGACCCAAAATGAGAGACAAATTAGCCCACAGAAAAGAGAGTTTGCTTTGTTTCTCCTCATGTTTGTCAAATCTGAGAGGTGTGAAGTCAAGGAAGCTCATAACGGACATGCTTAAAGGGACACAGAGATGGCATCATCCAATCTCCAAGGAAAGAGACTTACAAGAATTTCATGTGTCCTGTATAGAAATAGATCTTCAGAGGCATCGCTTACCCGGTATTCCTCAGCAGCCAACTCAATGGGACAGTGTCTGTGATCTCGGTGCTCCTGAGAGTTGGAGCACAGAAAACAGAGCAGGCTCTTGTCCACTTCACAGAACACCTTCTTTTTGTGTCTGTGCATCCCACATATTTGCTCCTCAGAGCTAAGGAATTGCCGGAGGCTGGCTTTTCTGGCAATGGAAGCCATGTTCTTCAAACAAATGTCAGTGTTGAGGTTTCTCTGCCGTGTTGTCTTCTTGCATTTAGAGCACTGGGCAGGAACTGCCATGTCTTGCCAGTTGAGGTACAAACAGGACCGGCAAAAGCTGTGCCCACAGTCTATGGTGACTGGGTCTAGGAAGTAGTTCATGTAGATGGGACAGGTGAGTGCCCTCTGGAATACTTGCGAGATTCCAGAATTCATGTTTCTGAAGAAGAAAGAGCAGCATGTCATTTTGGGGTCTGGCTTGGTGAAAATCTGTGAACATGTGGTGATATGTGATAGCTATATTTTCTTCTTGACAGTGCTCATTAAAGCAGAACAAACTATTTCCTCTGTAACAAAAATGAAAAATTCATACACAAAGAGAGTCTTTAGGCTTTTTAGCAGACACTACTGACTAGATGACACACAACCTCTTCTACTCCTAATTCCTGCCCATAACATAATGCAAATCTTTTCAAAAACCTATTCCCTGGATGTCGATATGAAAGTCGGGTTTTAATCTTAAGTGGTCTAGAATAAAACATGCTTGTCCCTATTTCTCTTTCAAATAACTACTGAATGACTATGGGAGAGGAGTAGAAAACCTACGTTGGGTAACAAAACATGGGAAGACGGTCAGAGGGCGCTGTGACATATTTTTAGAGAGAGGGACCCAGAAGCCGGCTCTTTAAAACAAAAACAACCCCAGAACAAACCAACCGACCAGATAAACAAAAAGGCAGCAATTAAACCAAGCTGGGATCACTAGGAGATAAAATAAATAATGAAAAATATTGGGTTTATTTTTCTTACGGCTTAAATTAACTTCTTCTTTGGGCTACTCAATCTATGAACTGACATATAGTCAGTTTTCTAAAAACTGAAATGTAATTATATTACAATGGTATTATGGTTAATTTTAGGTGTTGACTTGACTGGATTAAATAATACATGGAGAACTGGTAAAGCATTATTTCTGGGTGAGTCTGTGAAGGTGTTTCCAGAGAGACATGTAAGTTGGTGAGCTGAGTGGGGAACAGCAGCCCTCAATGTGGGTGGACACTATCCAATCAGCTGGTAGCTCAGACTGAATCTAAAGGGCAGAGAGAAGGCAGTTTCCTCTCTTTCTCCTGAAGCTGATTCTAACTCAGCCAGGATATTGGTATCTCCAGGACACTACCTTAATGACAGCCTATGTTCAACTTCTCAGACTCCATAATCAAGGGAACAAATTTCCCTAGTGGACTTCCTCTCCTGTAAAGTGTCATGTGTAGAGTGAGAACAGATATATGATCTGAGGGACACATTAGACAGTCTCATTATTGTTTGAACATCATAGGGTATACTTACACAAACCTCGATGGTATAGCCTACTACACACCTATGGTATACAGTATAGCATATTGTTCCTAGGCTACAAACCTGTATGGTATACGATCGGCAATTGTACCACAATTGTAAGTATTTTGGGTATATATACATATATATAGTTATGTACACATCCTATGGTTCTGTCTCTCTGGAGAACCCTGACCAATACAAACTGTAATCTTTGCCTTGGCAGTTTGAAGTCCTTTACCTTACTCTTTTTTACTAAACACTGCTGAATTTAAGTGCCAACAGTGAAAATTTAAGAATTGCAAATATTTTTCAGAAGTCATCTAAGCCATTTCAAGGAATTGTTCATAGTTTCACGTGAGGTAAGCCTCAATTAAAATGACAACTGGTATCAAGTATCAAGTTATTCCTTATGCAGTTATCTGCTAAACAATTGTGTTTTGATTTCTAAGCTAGGATATTTTGGAGAGCATTCTTATTTCTTTAGTATCACCATTTTTAACTCGTCATTGCCTCAGTAACTTTAAATCCTGTCTAAAAGCTTCAGGTTATGAAAGCACAACATTTACAGTATTCAATAATTATCCTTTTTTACTTAATTAAGTGTACCAATATTAGTACATGCAGTACACATATATATGTTTTAATGTGAATTCCATATATTCATGATGCATACATATCTATTGCAGCAAACACTAGATATCTAAAATTTTTCAAAAATATATTAAACACTTTTGGAACACACAAAATAACAATTAAAAACCTCATGTCATAAAAAGAATAGCAATAATATGAGTTAAAAATAAGATCATTAAGTAAGTTTAGACAGTTAGATATTTTTGTCACGGTAATTTACTATTTTAAAGGAAGAGAGAAATAATTTTCTCCATAAACGTTGCACTCACCCCAAGGTTCTATGAATGTTTCTGGCAGTGATTCTTCCAAGAGAAAATTCTTTTAAGTACTCCCCAAGATCAGGACCTCGTTCCCTGCAGAGTTGACTTTCAGAGGTCACCTGAATGCAGTTAACTCTAAGTGCTGTCCTCCTCTGGAGAAATATGAGCTTGTCTCTTCTACATCCTTTTATGTGAACCTTTGAAGACCACACCCACCTCTTTAGTGATATTTAGGGTATTAAGAAAGGTGGAGACAGAGATGATTAGATTTCTGCAATATTTAGTACACGCCTTTTCATCACTGATTAAATTAGCATCACACTATCATTGTAAAAACCACTGCCTGAATGAGGCATATCTATCATCAGTCTTATCAGAGTAAACGTATGCTAGAAATTAACTAAAATTGATTAATACTGTTTCTTGAGTTTCTTCCCAAGGCACAAGCATTCCTCCAAGTGCACATTTATTTATTTATACCAAAGAAAGTTTCACCCTCTGGAGTGCAGTGGCACAATCTTAGCTCACTGCAGCCTTGAATTCCAGGGCTCAAGTAATCCTCCCACTTTAGCTTTCAAAGTAAAAGAGACTAGAGGTTTATGCCATTGCACCTAGCTAATTTTTCATTTATTCATCAAAACTATTTTTAAAATTCTTAGGTGATTACATGTGTTACAGTGACCAGCTGGATTAGAATTAGATTAGGTTTAAAACGATGAAAGAATCTGGGAGAGGGGGCAGAGTGTTGGTTGTTAATTAGCACATGGATCAAAGGAGATTACTGATGTGTTTAGAAGCCACAACATTGACAGAATGAAAGCCAGAACTAACAATCCAATGGTAAATCTCTTTACTGTGGTATTTTCTGCCATTTCTGCTCCATAAGACACACCTTAACCACCTTGTCATGGTATCCGCAGTATTCGATTTTAGTCTAAATAGCATTTTCTCTCAAATGCACTCTGTTTCTCTCTCCTTCATCTTCCCTCACTTCTTCCTTCCAGCTCTATTTTTTCACTAGAGAACACTAATAGAATGTTCTCCCAAATTTCAGATTTCAGATACGCATCTGTAAAATAATCTTATGGAGACACATTTTAGTTGCTACTGCATACTTGGTTGTTTTCATAAGTTCACAGCATTACTACTGTCCTCCAAAAAATGGTTTCCCATTTCCACAGCTAATCTCATCATTGACTCTGCCATCCAAGTTTATTCTATGCCACTCTGGAAGAATCTGGAAAAATACTTAAAATACATTTTAAGTATTCATCATGCACATGTATTGCATTTTATTTTGTATATGTTCGGGTGAATATCTTCCTCCACTAATTGTTTGCATTTCAACTCTTGTATCATGTTTTTTGAAACACAGAAGTCGTCATTAATATAAACCAACTAATTTTTTTAATTGTTGATTTTTGTCCCGGTTAAGAAATCCTTATGAGAATATTTTCATGTGCATCTGTGCAAAGAGACCACCAAACAGGCTTAGTGTGAGCAACATGGTTGTTTATTTCACCTGGGTGCAGGTGGGCTGAGTCCGAAAAGCGAGTCAGCAACGGGAGATAGGGGTGGGGCCATTTTATAGGATTTGGGAAGGTAATGGAAAATTACAGTCAAAGGGGTTGTTCTCTGGTGGGCAGGGGTGGATCTCACAAAGTACATTCTCAAGGGTGGGGAGAATTACAAAGAACCTTCTTAAGGGTGGGGGAGACTACAAAGTACCTTCTTAAGGGTGGGGGAGATTACAAAGTACATTTATCAGTTAGGTTGGCGCAGGAACAAATCACAGTGGTGGAATGTCATCAGTTAAGGCTGTTTTTACTTCTTTTGTGGATCTTCAGTTACTTTAGGCCATCTGGATGTATACGTGCAAGTCACAGGGGATGCAATGGCCTGGCCTGGGCTCAGAGGCCTGACAAATATTGTATCATGTTCCCCTTACCTTCAGGACTTGAATCTATTTGGAAATGACTGTGTGTGTTTTGAGGTAGGAGTCAATATTTAGTTATTTTTTAAAATTCAACTAATCCAGCATTGTTCTGACCACCTTGTGTATTTCAATGTAGAAGAGCACACTAATAATGCAGGATTATTTATCTATGTGGTGAGAATTCCAAAATGAAGCCCAGCATGGAAGGTCAAATAATATTAACTCAAAGGATAGATTAGTAAAATGAAATGTGATGGATAAGTGCAATATAGTAAGGTAAAGAGAAAGAAAAACATTTCCCAGCTATCATTAAGACTTCACTCCAAGCTTTTGCATGAAGCAAAAGATCCCGACTCTCTTCCATTGATTTTAACTCCATTCAGACATGTCTGTCATTTATTATTTCACTCAGTGGCAGTCAGAAATAAAGAAAAAAAAACAGAATATGTTGTATGCCATGATCATGAATAATGATTTTTCAAAAATTAATAAAGAACCAATACATACACTTTCAGTGTTTTTACCACTTTTAATAGTAACACAATAAATGAGTTTCAATAACATTAGGAGGCAATTGAAGACATAAAACAGAACCTATTTGTCCTGTTTGATAAGGCACAAGGAAGAGGGCTTCCTGGAATAAAGGGGTTCTCACAGCAGATGAACACATTTCTGATTGATCTCTGGTCAGAGGTGAATACACCGAAAGATAGGCCTGAGAGGAGGTGAGAAGGAGCAATTAGGGATGGTGTATATAGGGAAGCTTTGATTAACATCAACGAAGCTCACAGTTCTAGCTTCACAATCCAGGAATAATCCTATGAGGCTGGTAGGTCTTGGGATATATTGCAGTGTAAGTGAGGAGGTGGTAAAGAAACTGCACTGAATGTCATTCTTGACATATCCAAGACTAAAGAGTCCCTCCTCTCCATGTATATTGTCATTCTGATTCTTCCCTTTCCAGCACTTATTACAGACACCAAAAGCCCAATTCCAAGAGTCCCCCAAATGGACCTCCCAGTAATATTTGCCGGAGGTGAAAATCTGAGCACATCATGAAAGAAAACTTGTAGGTGTTGCAATGATATGGGGCGGATTTTGACGGTCACATCCAATGCACATGCTTCTCAAATCTCCACATCGAAAGATATGACTGTTGGCTCATCATGATTCAGAGTAATATCCACTGTGAAAATAAATAAATAAATAAAAGAGAAAGAAACAAAACATACATAGACATGTGTCAATAAGCAAAAATTGTTCTATCAAGAAGTTAATTTACCAGGAAATGTAAAGTCACAAGGACAATTTTGCTTGTAACCTCTAATAAAGCATAGAGATGATTAATTTTAACTACAAGACAAACAAAACACTAACCACAGGTATTAAAAATGTTTTGAAAACTTACATATTGAGAGCCAAATGTAAGACCAACTTCTTTCAATCCAATTTTCAAAGCAAAATTTGCACATTGTATGCCCTAAATAGTATGCTGTTATCAAGATCATTATTTAGAAATGTTTCTTATTCTTAAAAACTAGTGCTATCATTTTGGAAAGAATGTGAAGATTTTCAGTTACTCCAGAACTGCTCTTGATGACTGGATAAAAATCCATAAGTACATGTCATAAGTGACAATTTAAAGCAGATTTCTGGTAAATCTTTTACCAGTCTCTCTGTGGTCCTCCATGCTAGCGTGGGGCTGAAGCTGGATTTTAAACTTAACCTGTCGCCTTTCATATTGCAATTAAACTGAACTTCTTTTTCTTTGTAATTTTACTTGTATTCACAAAATGATTTCTTCTTTTTATGATTACCCATTAACTAATTTTTTTGCAATTCATGATACATATCCATTTAAAAAATTAAAAACCCCCAGCAATCCCCAGTAAACCATAATCCCCAAAAGAACAGTTCTTAGCTGTTCAAATGAATTACACTAAGGAAATGTAAAATTTTGTATTTCACATAAACAACTCACCTTCATTCTGAGCATTGTTCCATTTGCTCCTTTTTAAAATTTGCTACACTACCTCTTTTTCCCATTACATTACTCAGTACATATGAGGCCGAAATGTATTTGGTTTTCACTATCTTTCAAACTTAATGCTATAAATCTGACTACACAGACACATATACAAAAGGGTTGCATGATTATGTTGTTCACTTATGTCTATAAAGAAGTGAAATATTTGATAAAGGGTGAAATATTACCTATGTGGTCCTAACAGTAATAATATTTAGATAGTGGGATAGCTGCCTATGGGTGCAGACTTACCTCAGAATTAGATGAGCCTGTCCCTCAGTCCAGTGATGGGCCCTGCACTGAGCTCTAGATTCAGAGGCTGGGACATGTGCAGTAGCACGGACTCACTCCTGGAAGGAAAAACCTGCAGTTACAACATCTACAGCCATAAAATAAATAAAAATCACTATTTCTGTTTAAAAGACAGTTCATGAGAATCCTCTGAATCCACAAATTTGATTATTCAAAAATTATTCCTTCCTTTTTGGAATTAATTTCTATTTACAGTTTCCAAATTTTAAAGCATAGTGGGAGAGCCTGAGTCAGAATTCAGTCTGATCTTTCTTTTTTTCTGCCCCACATGTGTAAGGTTCCTTAGCCTTATGGCCTTGAGAATATTTGGAAATGAAATTCTGAGTTAAACTTCTTGGCAGACTCCCCTGACCTCTTTGTCTGAAATAGCGGGGTTCTGGGGAGACTGCTGCATCTGCTGCATACTTTTCAAGATAAAGAATGTGAAACTTGTTCCAGGCAGCTAGACGTGCCTTTTAGAAACAAGCTTCCCTAGAGACTTATACAGTTCTAACACTCCACAGTTTTTTCAACCTGTTTTCCAGGAGTGTTAACTGATATGTATGTAGGTATGAACAACAAATCATCAACTTTTTCACTGCTAAAATACTTCCTCCACTTCTCTCCTGCTTCCTCTGGTGACTTTCTCACCATCCACAAAACAAAACTTTATCTTTCACCTATGCAGGCTTTAAAGCAATAAAACAGAATCAGGAATAAACTTTTTTTTTTTATTTCACTATGTATGTTGGTATGTATGTTTTTATTTAGTGTTCTTGTGTTTTCTGGTGTGAGAGTAAAGCAGATGCAAAAAAAAGGTAGTATCAATATCTGAATCATTTATGCCATGACTTTGGTAGAGCCTGCTTTGATATTCATGGAAACTGAAAGAATATATGCTAAAATCTAGGTAAACACTCACCTGTGTAATATGTCTCCAAAACCCTGTAAAAAAATAATAGAAATATGTAGTACATTTCACTAGATGCATCTTTCACCAAGTTCAGTGTGAAATTTGGAGTCAGTTTCTAAAGATATTATTTCCCTACCATCTGGAAAGCATTTTCTATTTCTTCTGTAATGAAAAACCCAGTTAGTCATTTTGTCATTAATTAATGTCCTGGTAAAGTCTGAGTCTTGAAGACATTCTCTCCAGAAGTGAAGGGAGAAGAGGCCCAGGGAGTCTATGCTCTGTGGTAACTTCAAATAACCTACTCAGTCATCTCTCCCAGGACCTATTACCCAAATGAGTGGACCTCAAAATAATGTTAATGTGAGCCTAGATTCCCAAAACTTCTGATCTTGCCATGTCCTCAAATTAACCTAAATGTAAATGAATCACTCACTATTTTATACATGTTAAACAACCCAAAATAGATTATTGACTTAGAAATGATTCAGTAGGTGCATTTCTCCAACATGTTTGTGCCAATATAGGAGTTGGCCAAGAAGAAGACTGACATCTTCAACAAGTGAATTTTACCTCTGTGTGCAGGAAACTCCCATTTATTGCCGTGTCCCATGCAGCAGGAAAGCTGGAAAAAAGTAGGAGGGACAAGAGTATTTGGCTTTAAGGAAATCACCTGGTGTTTCTCACAATGCTTTTATTCCCGTCCCATAGGTTCAAAATTAGGCAGATGGGATACCAAGTTGTAATGTATCTGGGAATGCTGTTTACACTCTAAACCATATTTATTCTTATCATTTGATTCAGAAAACAAATTAAATGACTGGCACAACTGAAAATAACCCAAGAGATTTGTTCAATGAAACAAAGCTGAACCTCAACCAAACAGATAAGCTGCTGCCTAAGGTCAGCACCAGTTCTTAGTTATTCAAGAGTGAGTAAACCCTGCTTTTTACCACTGTCGAGGTGTCCAGCGTTGTCATTTTTAGAGCCTGGCTAGCTGAGGGTTATGTGGCAAGAAACATCTTATTTGTATTTTAGTCCCTTAAATGAACGATTTGGATAGGAATGATTCTCCAAATTTTGAAAATACTTATCAGAAATATTCTCTTATTCCTTCACTCTATGCCACATAGACTATAATAAACTGTCTCTCTTCTGCCTCCACATATTTCATGCAGAACATTAGGGGTTAGCAGAGAGAAAGCTTATCACCAGCTTCTTTTGGACTAGCTGCTTTTTTCCAAGTGATCTGAGATGATAAAATTACTCACTTTAGGGCTCCAACCTAGCACTCCTTTTTGATTTTCACCTATGTTTTGTGAGCTTTTCTATTGATGCTAAAACTCTATGCAACAGTCAAAGCCTCATCATTTAATTACATTATTTCTTGCTAGATTTCAAGGAAAAATTTATTCCTGACATTCTTCTAATTTAGCTCAGATTCACTTTGGCAGAAAGACAGAATTAGCTACTTTACGATCACTTAGTGTTTGACTCTGATTTTGGAAGATGCAGCAGTTTTTGAGTCTATTTACCATATTTTCTTAGCCATTTAACCAAGATAATCTTATTGTGTTGATTCTCCTAGAGATACTTACTTTATTTATTCTCTTCACCTGTCAGAATTTATGTTAGAATATCACCAAGACTTACTCACAATTGAAATAAATCAAAGAGAGACCACTAAGAACGTTGTCAATCATTAATATGTAAATCTTGAACTTCCTGAGATTTTTATCCCTAAAAGAAGTTATTTATCAATAGCCTGGTTACAGTTTTTTTTAATACAAGAATTTTCACTCTTCTACAGTACAAAAAGTAAAAATTGATAAAGAGGATAACTTGGAAAAAAAATAATCTAACCAAACAGAGACACATTCTTGACTAGCACTTTATATCTGTACTAAATTTAGGAGACATGTAAATGGCAGGTTTCCTAAGTGAAATAAGACAGACACACAGAGAAAAATACTTCATGGTCCCACTCATATTTGAAATTTATTTTTATAAGTTTAATACATTCAAAAAGGTGGTTACATTGGTGGGAAGAAAATAGGTAAATGAAGGGCAAAAGTTGTAAAGGTGCAGTAATGTAGAATAAATGAATCTGATGTACAACCTGTAGGTATATTAGATAATCTTGTATTGTTTTTGGGAAATATTCTGAGGGACTAGATTTTTGGTGTTCTTATCATCAAAAAGAAGCAGAGCTAAGTGATATGATCGATTTGTTAATTTTCTTCATTATAGTAATCATTTCCTTATGCACGTGTATCTCAAAACGACATATTGTGCACCTTGAAAATATACAATAAAACAAATTTAAAAATAAAGGTAATTTTGTTCCTGCATGTAAGCTGAAAATAAGTGAAGACTGGGTCAGTAATAACATTGCTTTGCTGAATTAAGAGAATTCTCATAACATATTTTTAGCTGGGAAGCTATCTGTATTAAATGAAATTGATCTAAAGCTGGTTTCAGTGGCCGTACTTATAATCCCAGTGCTTTGGCAGGCCAAGGCAGAAAAATCAATGGAGGCCAGGAGTTTGAGATCAGCCTGGGCAATAGAGTAAGACATTACCTCTACCAGAAAATAAACAGAAAATTAGCCTTGAGTGGTGGTGTGCACCTGTTGTCCCAGCTTCTCAGGAGGCTGAGTTGGGAGGATTGCTTGAGTCCAGGAGTATAAAACTGCAGTGAGTTCTGATTGTGCCACTGCACGCCAGCCTGGGTGACAGAGTGAGAACTTGTCTCAAAAACAGCAGCTAATTATTTTTTGTAGCCATTTTACCTGAAAGGTATAATTCTTTCTTCTACAATTAATAAATCTGCATATGTCTAGGCCAGCTATATCAGGTAGAGCTTGTCCTCTAGTGCTTATATCTACAAAACAAGTAAGACAATTATAAGGAGGCTCTAAGCAAAACAATTTTTTCTCATTCTGGACTTTCAGGTCTTAATTCTTTAGACTAATTTTCTGTCTCAATAGTGGATATCACCCTGAAACTTAATTTGTCCAAACACCTCACATAACCTGAGATTTTACAAAACATATAGTTCGTAGGATCAGTACGTTCTTATGCCTCAAAATTCTCCAGGCATTCAAGGATACCGCTATGTGGAAACTCAGGCCTTCTACTGCATTACTGAAGAGCACATTTGAGACTCACAGCTCTGGTTGCAGGAGTCTCTTAACAGGTCTGGACAATGAGTAATGTCAGTCCAGATAATTCTGAGGAAGGCTTTCGGCCTTGTTATGAGGAGGATAATCCATGGAGACTCTAGACAAGTTCCCAGTCACCATTCCAGCATTTAGTTGCTGTTTTTGTAATCCCAGCATTTTGGGAGGCCTAGGCAGGTGGATCACTTGAGGTCAAGAGTTCAAGACTGGCCTGTTCAACATGGTAAAACTTTGTCTTTACTTCAAATACAAAATTAGCAGGGGGCGTGGGGTGGGGAATATGCATTAGAAGGGAAGGAGAACATACTTAACATACCATTGGAAGGTGAAATTCCTAATACTTGAGAATATTTTTGAGAACTGTTTAATTCTCACTATAGAAAGATGTACCCTTTGAATGACATTAAAAATTCACTAGAAGAGTGAAGAATAATAGTTAAAATGTCACATAAGTCACAAGAGTCTCAAAACATAAAGTGTTCTAAAAGGTTAAAGTACGTATTTGAGATAGAGGAGAGAATAAATAATAGTTAATTAATTAGACTTTATTATGTGAAAAGACTTTTCTAAAATCTTCCGTAATAATTGAAGATATAAATTACAATAATTAAAATATACAAAAAATAAAAGCATGAAAATAGTGAAAAATTTTTAAAAGGGTAAACTTGAAAATTATTTAATTTTTAATCTCAAAAATCAGAAAGTGATTTTATCAATGTCCTAAAAAATTAAAATAAAAACAAACAATAATGTAAAAGAAGGGAGGTTTCCACCGGGCTGGGGGCGGGAGCTAGGGCTTCCCTGGGGACGCAGAAGCAAGAAGCAGAGACCTTGGCGCGCACCAGACTTTCCCGGACAGAGCCTCGGCCCCCCGCCCACGCCTCCGGCCCCCAGCGTGGTGCTGCTGGCTGGGACCCAGCCGCAGGGTGGCGGGGCGCGCTGCATGACCCCGCCACCGCCGTCCCCACTCCTAGGCACACAGGTCAAGGAGGACCGCGCTGACTACAAAGAGTTCCAGGACTTCTCCAGTCTGCCCGACACCCACAACATCGCCTGGGACCACTCTTTCTACCCTTTCCAGGAGGAGGAGGAGCACGGCGTCAAGGGTGTGGAGAGCGTCCTGGAGAAGGGCGTTCTGGACGAGGGCGTCCTGGAGGCATGGGGCTGCTGCAGACGTTGGTGCGGCGGGGGGTGAGCGTTGAGAAGGCGCAGGAGACTGACCACAATGGCTAGACCGGCCTTAATGTCGCCTGCTACCATGGCTTTGTGGATATACCGTGGTGGCCTTAGCTGAGTGCCCCCACATTGAAGACAACTGGCAGGACAGGGAGGGGAACGCAACCCAAATCATAGCTGCACAGGCAGGAGCTGCCCCTGGCCCCATGGGCACAGTTGCCTTAGACACTGGCTCTCAGCCTTGCACTTCCTGCGTCAGCATCACCTGGGCTGGTTCATTTGAGCTTTCACACAGATCTGGTGGAAACACAGGCTGCCGAGCCCTGTCCCTGGAGTCTTTCTTTGAATAGGGCTGGGGTGGGGCCCAAGAATGAGCAGAAGAACAGGTTTCCTGGTGAGGCTGATGCCGCTGGCCCAGGGATCCCACGTTGAGGACGGAGGGCTTTGAGGTTTTCCTGCCTGATGATGGCCAGGAACCCTTCTCAGTAGGCATGGAAGACCAGCAGAGTCCCAGACCCCAGGAGAGATGTCGTCAGACGGACACACAGGCATCACGGAATTAAAGTGGAAATGAAGAACGGAGCTGAGCATCTGTTTCATGACTTTCCTGAGCTGTTTTACTAAAGAGGCTGTTCTGGCCCAGTCAGGGCACGCTATCATCACCAACTACTTGTTGAACTATGTCCTGGGTCTTGACCTTGAAGGATGGACGCGTTTGGGTTGAAAGCCGCCACGCAGGGTGGAACCGATCGCAACCGAGCCCTGAGCTAGCAGGGGCGGTTATCCACGCGAGGGCCCCCGCCGTGGGATGTCGCCAGAGGAGTGGTCACTTACACGTCCGCCTCAAGCAGAGGCTCCTGGAGCGCCCCTGCCAGGAGCCGTTGGGGAAAAAGTACCAGCTTGAGCTGCCTCCGCTCTACGAGAGGGCGCGGAAGCCCGAGGGCTCGAAGAACTTGCCTGCAGATGGTCAGGGACTGCGAGCTGTCCGCGCTGACGCTGCGCTCCCTGTGTGGCCCGGAGGACCGGGGCGCCCTGGACCACATGGTCAGGATGACCACCAGCCTCTGAAAGCCCCGCCGTGGCCCTCCCTTGCCAGACCGTGTGCCTCCAGAACTCCCTGTGCCTGGGGAAGAGGCTGCTGGCGGTGCAGGAAATCCTGGCGGCTCAGGAAATTCTGGTGACGCGGCGTGGGGGTGGGGAGGCAGGCGCAGGAGGCGGGCGAAGCGGAGGGCGCAGAGCAGCACAAGTGGCCCTGCCCAGAGGCCGCGGGCTCCCGGCAGGGCTCCCCAAGAGCTGGCCTCCCACCTGCCCCTTTGCCGGGGTCCTGGGGCTCTGCCGACCCCGCCCCGCGGAAGGCCAGCCTCCTGCCCCTGCAGCGCCTGCGGCGGAGCAGCTTGCGGCCCGGCGTGGTGGTGCCCCGATCCGCCTCAGCAAGGCGCCCGCGCCCACCTTCCAGCGCCAGAGGCCGGTGCCGAAGGGCAGCACCAAGGACAGTGGCCACCTGCGGACACCCGCCACCTGCGGACACCCAAGTGGCCGTACAAGGTGGCCACGGAGGAGAAACCGGAGGCTGAGGAGGCCGAGAAGAAGCGCCAGGCCAAGGTGCAGGAGAAGCGCCTGCCGCCGTGGAAGAAGAGGACGTGAGAATCCGCGGGTGCTTGACACGGGGTTCGAGGGCAAGGTGAGGCCGCGGGGCTGGACACCATGGCCGCTCCCGGGACCACCAGGCCGCGTGCGTTTCCACGCTGTCTTTCTAGAATGCTCCCAGGAAGGGGCTGGGGGAGCCACATCGATTCGCCTGACACCAGCCACCCTAGCAATCAGTACACCTAGCGGGCATGTTGCCTAAAAGGCTCCCTTTAGAGAACCTCAATTAAGATGTTTTTAAAGATCAATTTATTAGGCCGGGTGCGGTGGCTCACGCCTGTAATCCCAGCACTTTGGGAGGCCGAGGCGGGTGGATCACCCGAGGTTGGGAGTCTGAGAGTAGCCTGACCAACATGGAGAAACCCCGTCTCTACTAAAAATACAAAATTAGCCGAGCATGGTGGCACATGCCTGTAATCCCAGCTACTCTGGAGGCTGAGGCAGGAGAATCGCTGGAACCCAGGAGGCAGAGGTGGCAGGGAGCCAAGATCGCGCCATTGCACTCTGGCCTGGGCAACAAGAGCCAAACTCCGTCTCAATCAAAAAAACCTCAATTTATTAAAGAGTATTTTCTGTGTGATTTTGTATTTTTAATTGTTATCCGGTTTGCCAAGTTTTACAAGTGATAGGGCCCCTTGTATCCAAGGCAGTTTTAATACACTTGCCCGAAGACATTGTATTTGAAATACTGTTTCTAGCAATAAATATTTATGGTATCTGTAGGAGTTTACACAGAAATCATGGGATTCTCTCCTTTTTGGCTGTTTGTTTTGGTCTTTTCTTCTCATTGTGGGTGCACATGCACACTGGATGTTTTTATTAATTAGATTAAGTGATGCTGGATATTTCTGTTTGATGGAGGGATTGACTCATTCAGCCACATGATCAAGTGAGAAAGAGATGATATCATATTTTATTGTATCTTTTTAAAAAGTATTATCCATACAGTCATATATTGGGGAAAAACATTTATCATCAAATTATGAAACAATGCCGAGATAAGCATGTATGTATTGCTAGAATTAAACTCATTTTAATCAAGGAGTTTTAGATAAACTGGATACAAAATCTTTAACATATTTAAAATAGATATGAGGGAAAAGTGTCATTTGATAAAATGGGGGAAATGTAATAGATGATTACCAGAAATACAAAATTAAGCCGTATATGCTCTTAAGTAAATCGAATCCAGATATCCTTCAAATGTAAAAAAAGGATGCAACAAGAGTAAGATGCAAATTAAAGGAATGGGGGGAGGTGATGTTTAGAACAAGCACAGAGAATGCAGTGGGAAGCAAACTTATTTTAGGCAAATTCTCCTGGAGTGGACCAGACAGCCCTCTCTTGCAGACTCAGTTCCAAAGAGTCCCTTATGTGGGTATTTCTTTTATTTTTCCTTTGAGGGCTGCACTTGGTGTTTAGTTCAACCTCATGCGGACCTCATGGAATTTCCAAGACGTGGGGCCTTGGCATTGTGGCACCTTCCTGCCACGTGTACATAATTCACAGCATTACCAAGTCACCGCAAGCTCCACGCTCACCTCTGTCAGCCCAGGACCCAGCCAGGCAGTGTCACATGGTCTCCCAGGCATGACTTTCCAAGCCGGCTATCCCTGCTGCAAAAGTTCTGAAGGCACTGGTCCAGGGAGCTGAGCCCTGGGCCTGTCCTAAAGCTCCATAGGTGACTGCACTGCAGCCCACATGGAGAGCTGCAGCTCTAACACAGGGATTTTGAGAGGCCTCAGTCGCCTTTAAGTGGCACTTCCAGGACACCCATCCTGAGCTCTCACGAATGGCTCCACCTTCCCAAGAATGTCTAATTGTCATTGGAACAGCCAGTGTCTGGCAGCTTCGCTCGGGCTGATGTGGCATCTGACCCTTGGTGGGTTGCCAGACATTCCTTCCTGTTTCCGCCATGGGAAGTTGACACTGGGAATGGTATGGAGCACCCACTTCTACACTAAGCCTTGGGTGTCTGCTGCTTCCAGGTCAACAATGGACATTTCTAGTCCTGACCAGCCATTACCACACTGTAACCGAAGCTCATAGTCTCAAGGGATGTGTAGAACAGCAACAGTAGGACAGCAAACAACTGGCAATTTCCCCAGGTCCCACGCTGTTCCGGAGTGGGCATGATGGGTCCCTGTTCCTAATGTGTTCCAGCCTTAATCAGGTGCACAGGGTACCCTGGGGCCAGCACAGGGCTTGTCAAGTAATGCTCCTGGTGTCCACAAAACAGCTCCAGAGATACCTGCATTTTGAAAAGCCTGCCAAGCCAGCAAATATGGGGCAGGACCCAGATTGCTTTGGCAAATCTGAAGGTGAGCTGGCCACTTGCCTGGTGAGTAGAAGCTGCCTTTACCTGGCCAGTGTATGCAACTTGAGAGAAAATCACAACTTCACGGAGGGGTTCTGGTGGGACTGGGAAGCCTGACCTCCCCTGCAGCTTTGGTATGGCCCCAGTGGAAAGACTGGATTTTGAAAACCCACCAGACCCAACTGAAAGAAGGGTCATCCCTGATTGGATCCCAGACTCTCCCTGGTCTCTCTGGGCTCACTCTAGACGTGACTTGCCTGTGGGCAGCCCTTCCCTTTGGCCCATGAGGCAGGTCCAGGTAGCTTCTGCAGCTGTGTGCCTGGCTACTGGCCCAGCACTTCTCATTTTTGCCATGTGGAATCAGATTTGCTAGTAGAGGAATTTTCCAAGTCAAAGGAAGTGTCACCAAACCTCTTTCCTCCACCTTGGCGAGCCCAGGCTCTTGGTTTCTTATTATCTTTTGGAGTGGGCAGCAGAGGGGACAAGCAGGCCTCCAGCCAGGCTCAGGGAGTGTGGGAGGACAGGGAGAAAAGTCTAGATGATGGGGAACTGGTGCCACCATGAGGGGGATGTCCTGGGGTCAGTGTCGGGGTGATCAGATGAACCAGTTTATATTCAAGCAACATTATTATGTTCAGTTATTTTGGGTAAGGGATTCCTCGGGGGAGGTGTGGTCATCTGGTCCCAGAGGTGGAGTGAAATGCCCACTCGTCTTCCTGAGCCATTTGGAAGCCCTTTCTTCTAGCCCTAGGTACTGGTGACACAGGCTCCTCGGTCTCAGGAGGTGCACAGGGCTGGGGGTTGCAGGCTTCTTGTCACTTACCCACTCAGCACTATTGGGCATCGGACATTCACAGGTCTCACAGTGGCCTCTCTAAAAACCTGGTGTCCTAGGAGAACATTTATTATTTTTGTCTGTTTTTGTTTCTTTGAACTTCTGCATTCACTCACTGAGGGCTCGCCCTCCCTGCACCCCTCATGTTGTTCAGGAAGGAGGGAACTGATGAGCATGGACCCCCTTCTCCTCTTCTGTCAGTTGCCACCACACTGTACCCACTGGCTTTATCACCATGTTCTCCCTCCCCTGTTGCCTCATCTCTTCTTCCTCATTCATCCTTCCTTCCTTTACCTGTTTTCTTCTCCCAGTTGGTTAAGTTTTTTATCATCCCTGGCACCACCTACCCTGAGGTCTACCCAGAACAGAAAAGCAGGGGCCTCTGTGAGGCAATGTGGTGTTATCATGGTGGGACCTCCAGGCCCCCAGAGTGAGTGAACAGCAGGCCTGCCAGCAGGTGTGCTGGGGGCTAAGAATTCCTACACCACCGTGCCCCTCCCACCCCCTCCTCTTTGCTCAGGAGGGAGACCAGGCTTGCCCTCTTGCAATGACAGACCAGCCCCTGCTATGCATAGGGATGGGGCTCAGGATCCCTCCCTGAACCCTGAAGTTAATTAACTGTAGATAGTGAATTTCAAGTTGACAGCTACCTTCTCAGGGATTTATATATAAATACAGTTAAAGGAAAAGCTAAAGTCTATATTACTACTTTTTAGTGTTTGTGAAAATTAAGCTTAAACTGGACAGAATAATTATTTCTCAGACAATGGCGATGCTACTCATTACAAGTGAGATAGGTGGAGCTTGCCCCTTGATGGAGAATTTTTTTGGTGATTGGAGATTGGGGACTCTGGCAGCAGAAATGGCTTTGCGGTGGGTGTGAAGTCACTTCTGTCCCTCGGAGAGCCTCTTGTGGATGTGAAAGCATGTATCAACACCAGTGAAATCCACCTCCATGTGCATGGAGGTGGCTGATGTGAACACAAATGAGCCAGTCCTGGCACTTCCCTCCAGAACCGGTCACTCCTGGTCTGACATTGGAGCATGTGAATTAAGAGTGACATTTTTTTCTACTGGCTTCTCCGAATAAAGTGTTCTACAGTCAGCCAGCACTAAACTCACTAGAAAGCAGGAGGGAAGAGCGTGGAGCCAATCATCTAGAATTACCTCGGTGTGCAGAGGCTGTCCCTTGGCTGCACTTGGGAAAAGCAGTGTGAAACATCCTGTGCCTCTTTCTTCTGGATCTCCTCCTGACAGTCTCCTGGCAACACTAGAGACCTCAGGACTATGGAGATCAGAATTTCAATACCTTTGTCATCTCAGCATTGACCACTCCTGAGACCCGAGGCTCCTCCTGGGAGCAGGAGACAGGGAGTTCGTGATGTTCGTTGGAAAGCAGGATTTATGAATGCAGGAGGGCCGTGCTGGACCCCTCTGTCTTCTTCTCTCCCTGCTGTCAGCAGTGACAAGGTCTCCAGTGTGGAGGCGAGTCTGTTGTGGGTGAAACAGAAGCCCCTGGGGTAAGGCCAGACCCCAGGCCTGAAAAGGATGCAAAGCCTGCTGTTTCAGGCTGTCAGGAAGAATCATGGCTACAAAGTGAATATGATGAAATGCATCCCAGAGAGGAAATGAATGTGCCTTCACTAAGAAGTGGGTCTGGCTGCCAGGTCTCTGGCAGTCCACTGGCGAAAGGACTACATCCCCTGCAGCCCTGCCATCCACACTACATGATGTGGGAATGCTGTCTCTTCACTCTTACCCTGGGGACCCAAGCCTGCTTTGAGGTGTGAGTCACAGCCCTGATGTGTGCCTTGCATTATTCTTTCCCCAGGTGTGCCCGGAGACTCAAGCTTGCTCATTTCTGTCCTGACACATCTCTCTGGTCCTGTGGTGGTCAGAGTCCTCCTGTTCTGTGTCAGCTCCTAGACATCATTAGTGTTTCACGTGATAAAGTGTGAGCACTTTTCTCTTTTACAGTATTTGGGGAAATTCTAACACACTCCCCAGGGATTTGCACAGGTCCCTCTGGCTCCCATGGTGGGTAGTTCTATGGATTCTGCACCTGGCAGTCAGCACTCCCCCTTGGAAGCCCCTGGGGTCCCTGTTTCTGTAGGCCTGGTCCTTGGTTTCTACCCCAGTACTTTTTGCTGGGACCTGCCTAGAACTGCCTGGAGGGCCATGGTCTAGGGAATGACAGGTGGAACCCTGACCACAACAGATCCTTCTGAAACAACGAAGTCACCTTGATGACGACGACTGCAGTGGGGTGAATGCCATCACAGTGGGCATGCTGGGAGCCACCAAGGGCTTCCCGCAAAGGCAGTTCTTCCCAAGGCACCCTTTGCGTCTTCCCCTCCTCACCTCTCACTGCATTTGGAACTTGCTTATGCGTTGGAATGACTTAAATCAACTGCTGGTTTCTGTGTCCCTGCACTCACAGGAAGCTTCATTAACATTTTCAATAAGTGGCTAAAAAAACTCCTCTGGAGGTAGTTTTTGAGAGCAGGAAAAAGAAAAACACACACTACCTGAAATGATTTTACTAATTTTTGAGTGACTCAGTTGAAAGTCAGTGTTGCATACACAATTTCCTCATGCTGAGCCAGCTTGAAATAAGACTTGATAAAAGGCACGGCCCTCAGTAGCAGGCGGTGCCACTGTGGACAGTGTACACTATGGTGTGAGGGTATGCGAAGGCGAGTGTAAGTGTGTTTACTCATGCACACGGATAAACTGAAAGGACACCGAGCTTCGTGCTGGCAAAGTTATGATGCTGCTGTAGCTTGTTATGGGCCCCGGGCAGTGTCAGATGGGAAATGCTTTGATGGCATGTTGTTCAATATATATAATGGGGTCTCCCATGGCCCAAGGACCCAGGATGAGCACTCCGCCCACTGTGGTGGAGAACACGGCTGGAGTCATCACAGCCCAGGTCTTTATTGAAAGGCAGTGTTGACCCAGAAGGCTCGCGTAGAACCCATTTGGCCAGGTGTGGACCATCTCTCTCCATCTGACTTGACTTGGCTGCACAGAGGGACCCAGACCCAAAAGGCCCAGACTCAAGAGGAAACTGAATGACGTTTACCATTACACCAGCTTTCATTTATTTTTTCCATATGATCATAAGAAGTGTATTACTAAGTATGTTTATAAATGCTATTTACAGTCTGTTCCCTTTTATTAGATGAAAGATTAATAAAGAATAAAAAATTGCCTGTAGTAAAACCGTGCCTGAGGCCAAGAGTGGTGGCTCATGCCTGTAATCCCAGCACTTTGGGAGGTCACGACGGGCAAATCACCTGAGGTCAGGAGTTCAAGACCAGCCTGGACAACATGGAGAAACCCCAGCTCTACAAAATACAAAAAAAAAAAAAAAAAATTAGCTGGGCATGATGGTGGGTGCCTTTTATTCCAGCTACTTGGGTGGCCGAGACAGGAGAATCGCTTGAACCTGGGAAGTGGAAGTTGCAGTGAGCCGAGATTGCACCATTGCCCTCTAGCGTTGATGAAAGAGAGAGAGAGGGAGGCAGAGCAAGAGAGAGAGAGAGAGGGAGGAGAGAGGGTGTGCGTAGAGGGAGAGAGAGAGAAAGAAAGAAAGAAAGAAAGAAAGAAAGAAAGAAAGAAAGAAAGAAAGCAAGCCAGCCATGCCTGAAGGGCACTGTGTGCTCATCACTTCAGCAGGTTGACACTCACCTGGAAGTCATGAAATCTGTCCATTAGTCCAGTGATGGGTTGAGCACTGAGCTCTGAGCTCACACACTGGGGCATGTGCCGCTGCTCTGACTCACTCCTTTAAAGAGGAAAATACAATTGAGCTTTCTAATACCAAATATTTTATCACAGGATTGAAAAACAAATAATCATTCAAGGGAAATTTGTCTTTAAAACCCTTTCCTGAGGTAGCAGTCCCAAATCATAGGAATTACGAATTTGAGCCACTGAGCCTAGACTGACTGATGTATCCTACGAATAAGCTATGTACATAAACTCATGTCTTCCCACTTCTCAGAACCATGAAATCAATCATTCCTCCCTTTCTTTCATTTATTTTTATTGTTTCTTAACAATACTAGAAGCTAAA
Organism: Homo sapiens; assembly: GCF_000001405.40. Lineage (NCBI taxonomy): Eukaryota > Metazoa > Chordata > Mammalia > Primates > Hominidae > Homo > Homo sapiens. The sequence continues at coordinate 49,859,736 of NC_000011.10, forward strand.
TTCGTTCTTTTCTTAAACCACGTTTATTCATTATATGACTTCCTAAAACACACAAAGAAAGGTTATGATTCATCATTTCTTCAATATACACCCTTTGATATCGGACAACCTACCTGAGAGTCATTGGAATTTATGGTGATTCACAGATAATTTTTTGCAGTATTAAGTTTTTAAATTAGTCTTTAGTACTAAACCTCCCTACTCCATAGCCTGACCACTCTCTCTGAGCAGTAATCAATGCTGCATTGTACCCTCAGGATTGGAAGCCATGAGAAAAAACCTTCCTCAAATCCTAACCAAGATGATTTCCACTCAAGTGGTAAGTGGATACATTTGTAGCATGTCTGTCTGAGGCTGAATCCGAGGGAAAAAGCCTAATACTTACAATCCACTGGTTGGTTTTCCTGCTCTCCTCATTTAACTTTCTTTGGTTTTCTTGAATTTTTTCCCAAAAAGATCTCATTTGCTTCATTATCGTCTCCTATAAAAGAATTATGAATTTGAACATAGAGAAACAAATGGCTTTGGTTGTCAGACCCCCATTGATAAAGAAATCAAGGGATGAGATATGAAAGAGATTTGGGAAGATCTCAGACTGTACAACCACAACATGGAATGCAACCAGTATAATAGGAAAATCATAAGCAGGGCTAATTTACAGATAATGTGGCATCTTGCATCAGAATTGGAATCTACTGACACCATGCCTTGCTAATTCTAGCAAAGTTTATTCTATTATTTCCAGTGTTGGTAAAGAGGTTTCTTATATAGAAGGCTTTTGAACTTGTAGTTTAGATAGCCAGAAACTCTCTCTGATATTGAGCTCTTTACAGTGCCTTGAACATTAAACTAAATAGTCAAATTATTATAATGATTATTAACTTCATCACTCCCTCAGTGAAATGCAAGTTCCAGGAAGGAAGGTATTCTCACAGATTCCATTTAAATTTCTATCATTGATACCTAGGCACTACATGATATCCAGTACAGAACAGAATAATCCTCATGCTCTTCATCTTCCCCCTAATCTCTTTACCTGTGCCATCCTCCAGCTTTCAAAGTGCTCTGAGAGCCATCACTTACCCAGTGTTCCTTAGTTGCCCCTCACAGTGTGTGTGAGCCCCGTGCTCCTGAGTGTTCCAGAACAGCAAATGAAGCAGGCTCTTATCCACCGCTCCAATATCTTTTTTTCTCCCTGTGGATCCCACACATTTGTTCATTAGAGCTCAGGAATTGCCAGAGACTGGCTTTTATGGCAATGCACACTGGATTCTTCAGAAAAATATTGGTTTTGACGTCCTCCTGCTGTGACAGTTCCCCGTATGTGGGCAGCCAGGAGGAATTTTGGCTTCTTCCCGGGAAAGGCAGAGACAGGGCCTACAGAAGCTGGGGCCGCAGCCTGTGGTGATGGGGTCTACGAGTTAGTTCAGACAGAAGAGGCAGATGGGTTCTTTCTGGAAGGCTTGTGTGATGTCTGAGACCATTTTCCTGAAGGAAGGAAATTAGGAAACGTATGATTAAAATTTCACCTTATGCCTTGGAGAAACAAAGACCAAAGCAAAATTTGACTCAGGTTGTGAGTCAGTGATAAACTTCTGTCTAGAGTAGAACAGGCTTTATTTTGTATAAGACAAAAGTAGACCTGAGGCACAAAGAGAGCTCTTGGATCTGTAGGTAAAATTGTTGGGTTCATGCACAACTCACAGGGCACTACATCCTCATCCTTCCATTTTCTTTTGCATAGAAAAATGAACCTCAGAGAGGCCAGGTGTGATGGCTCACACCTGTAATCCCAGCACTTTGGGATGCCAAGGCTGGTAGATCAGGTTGGAGACCAGCCTGGCCAATATGGGGGAACCCTGTCTCTACTAAAAACACAAAAATCAGCCAGGAGTGGTGGCACATACCTGCAATCCAAGAAACTTAGGAGACTGGGCAGGAGAATTTCTTGAACCCTGAAGTTGCAGTCAGCTGAGACTGAGCCACTGCTCTTCAGCCTGGGCAAGAAAGCAAGAAGAAACAAAGAATGAGAGAACGAGAGAGAGAGAGAGAAAGAGAGAGAAGAAAGAAAAGAAAGAAAGAAAGAAAGAAAGAAAGAAAGAAAGAAAGAAAGAAAGAGAGAGAGAAAAAAGAAAAAAAGGAAAGGAAAAGAAAAGAAAAGAAATGATTAGATTTATTTTTAAAGTCTTGCTTATTACAATGATGGAAAATTTGAGATTTTCCATCATATTGTATGTATTAGTTTTTTTCTTTTGTTGATTGAGCAGCATTCCATTGTGGGATTATACTATGGATTGTTTATTCACTCTTCTGTTAGAAACCTGGACTTTGTCTAATATTTGGCTAATATAAACATGGCTGTTTTGAACAATATTGTACACGTCTTCTTGTGGGCATGTGCTCATCTTTCTAGAGTAAATACCCAGTAATGGAATTGCTGTGCCATAGTGCACATTTCTGCTTGACATTGCTTTTTAAAAGAGTTACCTTAAGTGATTGTATAATTTTAGCCTAAATTATCACAAGCATTGTATGAGGATTTCAGTTGCTCCACATTCTCGCTACATTTGAATTGTTAATCTGTTTTACTTTAGCAATTCTAGCAAATGTGAAATTAGAATGTATTTAATGTAATTTATAGAGAACCGTTTGAATGAAACTAAGTTTTTACTGGAAATACAGCAATTTTTTTTTTTTCAGAATATGCTTATAGGTGTGGAATTGCAGAGGCTGTTGGTCTTCCAAGTATTCCTGTTCATCCAATTGGATACTATGATGCAGAGAAGCTCCTAGAGTAAGTTTGTAAGAATCAATGGATGGCTATTTGGGTAATTTTCATTATTGACAGTTTTCAAATATTAGGCTTTTATCTCCATTTTTTAGTTCTTAAATTTTCCAACATGGGTGCTGCTTGTAATTTTATCACTATAAAATAGAATAGTGGTTCTGTTCTGGAATTTAGTATATACATGAGTATCTAGTGTATGACAGCCATGAAAATGAGCCTTTCAGATATTTAACTGCAGGGAGCCTAATTGATCAATTGCTCCAGACACTGTGCTTTGAAACCCCACTATATTTGTGTCAAGACTATGCTTCCTGTAGGTGTTCTCGGGCAATGACTCAATGTGGCAAGGATACTACTACAGGCCTGTTTCTGGACGGCACTGGACTCCTCTGATGCAATACTTTGGCCCAGGGACTCCCTGATAGCCTCGCTTAAATAGATGCTGCACCCAACACTCCTCTTTCTTTTCCTCCTCCCTTTTACCTTTATTCAATATTAGACCTACCTTGCAGTCTAAGTACTTTCTCAGGGTTTCCTTGCTCTCTCCTCATTTTCCACACATGCTTTTCCCGAGTAAATCTCTTACTCATGTATTCCTCTTACTGTCTACTTCTGGGAGGACCCAGAATAACACACTATAGAGCAACTTCCATTTTGTTTTTATCTCTATTCTTCTTCCCCTTCTGCTTTCATTGTCAAAACTTTCTGCTTTCATTATTGAAACTTTCTCAGATTTGTTCTGCTTAACCTGGCATTGGAACTGTTTCCTCCTCTTCCCTGTGCTGCTTTCTCCCATTGCCATGTCCTTTTTTTTTTTTTTTTTTTTTTTTGAGACAGAGTCTCACTCTGTTGCCCAGGCTGGAGTGCAATAGTGCGATCTCGGCTCACTGCAACCCCCGCTTCCCGGGTTCAAGTGATTCTCCTGCCTCAGCCTCCTGAGTAGCTGGGATTACAGGTGCCCACCACTATGCCTGGCTGATTTTTGTATTTTTAGTAGAGATGGGGTTTCACCATGCTGATCAGGCTGGTCTCGAACTCCTGACCTCAGGTGATCTGCCCGCCTTGGCCTCCCAAATTGCTGGGATTACAGGCATGAGTCACCGCGCCCAGCCACCATTATTCTTTAGAGGTGAGAGAACACTGGCTTTTCTAAAAGTGAAATTGATAAAGACCAAAGTGTCTGTCCAGGTAGTCCCTTTTCTTCTTTGAGTTCAAGCCTTTCTTAATCATTTTATTCCAGTATCTATGAGGAAGCACTTTTTGACCAAGGGCAAGGCACTCATTTTTAGAGGTGAGGAGGCCGACATCTGGGGAGTAGGACACATCTGTTCAATTTAAGGGCAGATTAGGAAAGTACCCTGGTCTTTCTTCCTTGGGGCTATAAGATTTACTACATTGCTTAAGATTCAGGACAAGGCACAACTTTTGATAACACCATAGACTATGCATTTGCCTAAAAATATGTATAAATAAAGACTAAGTATTCATGACATTTAAAAGATAAAAGTGATTTTAGAATTACTTGTAATAGTGGAAAACTGTAGACAACACAAATCTTCAACAATTTATATGTACTCGAATAATACATTAATGACTATGATAGTAAATGAAGTGATTAAAAGATATTTATATGTTGTACCAGAATAATTAATAATATCGAAAAATGCTTATGATATACTATTAAGTGAAGAAAAGCAAATTGCAAAACTATATATATATAGTATTATCTCAGTTATATAAAAAATTAAAACATGTGGCTGGGTGCGGTGGCTCACGCTTGTAATCCCAGCACTTTGGGAGGCCTAGGCAAGTGGATGATGACGTCAAGAGATGGAGACCATCCTGGCCAACATGGTGAAACCCCGTCTGTACTAAAAATACAAAAATTAGCTGGGCATGGTGGTGCGTGCCTGTAGTCCCAGCTACTCGGGAGGCTGAGGCAGGAGAATCACCTGAACCTGGGAGGCAGAGGTTGCAGTGAGCCGAGATCGCGCCACTGCACTCCAGCCTGGGTGACAGAGTGAGACTCCGTCTCAAAAAAAAAAAAAAAAAAAAAAAAAAAAAAAAAAAAAAACAACTTAAAACATGAACCTGTATTATCTTTGTAATTAGAAAAGAGGGATGCATAATATCATGAATTAGATGTGAGATTTATTTAAACGTCTATGATTTGGTCTGGTTTACTAGGTCAATATCAGCTGTGCTCTGATTGTGTAATGGAATTATCTGATTGATTGAAAAATAACAAACTCAATTCATCTGACATTACTGTGTCACCCTCTGTAAGCCATTTTACAAATACAATCACCGTTAATAACATAACTTTCATGGAAAAGTGCATTTTACATTCAAAATTTCATAATTAAAATTAGACACTCTATTTATCCACCCATACTTTCTAAGTCATAACGAAACAGTCCATATAAGTGGAATTTAGTTTTAAAAAATTGTTTAAAAGAACATATGGTTTGTTTATGAATTTCACTGTGAAAATTTACTCTCTTGGCACACGTACCTTGGGAGTGTGCCAAGATACTCAATTCTCAGGTTCTCTCAAGTGGTTAGCAGTTTAGCATTGTGCACTGATTAGAAAAGACAGTGTTTTACAAATGGAATATATCATGAAATAAAATTTATTAATAAATGTGTGAGTAAACAAGGAGAGATATAAAGTCATATAATGACCCAAGAATGCTGAGAAGTTAAATAAAAAGTTGATGAAATGTGAGTGATGATAAAAACTTCATGTTGACTTGAGTGGGAAAGAAAGGGGACACCTTATATATTGTTTCCTATTTTTCTTTACATGTAACCTGAACACAGTGTGATTATGTGGTTTTAATTTGCCTTCTACAGTAACTTCCAGGACGATAATTATAGTGCCAACGGTAACAGTAGTAGCATGTATCCTGCATGGAGTGCTAATTATGCTTTAGCACTTACTGTTGTGCTAAATGCTTTACACACATCTCCTCAATTAACCTATAAAACAACAATATGAGTTAGTATTGTGATACTCATTGTAACCAATGTTCAGAGAGTAAGTGAATGAGGTGGGGCCTTAATTCATGTCTGATGCAAAAGACACTTTGGTAAACACTACTTACTCTCTACTCAATGACAGAAGCATTTAGTAGCCACCTCTATTGATTATGGTGTTGTCTCATTTTTATGCCTCTGCTTGGGAGACCTTTAATGGCTTCTCGCAAAAACATTTATAGAATGACTTTTATATTTCAGGCACTGCAGTAAAAGTAGGAATTAGGTAAAGTCAGTAGTAACGTCCTCTCTTGTATTCTTGATTTTAGTAATTACTTTTTAAACTTGGTCAGTTTAACTAATGATTTGCTAATTTTGTTGATCTTCTTAAAGAATCACCCTTGGTTTCATTGATTTTCTCTATTGATTTTATTATTTTTCTTTCAATCTTTGTAATTTCCTTTCTTATGCATTATGAGTTAAGTTTAGTTTTCTTTGTCCAGTTTCTTAAGGTGAAAACTTAGCTTACTGATTTGAGATTCTTTCTATATAGGTGTCTAGAGCTATGTATTTTCCTTTAAGCACTGCGTAAAGTTGGTTGGGTCGAAATGGGGGTGGAGGGCGATTCCAGCTTGTCTTCTGCAGTGTGAATACTCTGACTCCCTGCCACGAACAGACATCTATACACAGCAGTCAATCGACTCAAGCAAGAAAATTGCTCAAGCAAGAAAATAACCAAGAATCTCAGTCACAGGAGAGCTGCTGTGAGTACCCTACTGGAAGAAAGGGTATCAGTGATGGAAGACCAAATGAATGAAATGAAGTGAGAAGAGAAGTTTAGAGAAAAAAGAATAAAAAGAAATGAACAAAGGCTCCAAGAAATAAGGGACTATGTGAAAAGACCAAATCTACGTCTGACAGGTGTACCTGAAAGGTACAGGGAGAAAGGAACCAAGCTGGAAAACACTCTGCAGGATATTATCCAGGAGAACTTCCCCAATCTAGCAAGGCAGGCCAACATTCAGATTCAGGAAATACAGAGAACGCCACAAAGATACTCCTCAAGAAGAGCAACTCCAAGACACACAATTGTCAGATTCACCAAAGTTGAAATAAAGGAAAAAATATTAAGAGCAACCAGACAGAAAGGTCGGGTTACCCACAAAGGGAAGCCCATCAGACTAACAGCGGGTCTCCTGCCAGAAACTCTACAACCCAGAAGAGAGTGGGGGCCCACATTCAACATTCTTAAAGAAAAGAATTTTCAACCCAGAATTTCATATCCAGCCAAACTAAGCTTCATAAGAGAAGGAGAAATAAAATCCTTTACAGATGAGCAAATGCTGAGAGACTTTGTCACCACCAGGCCTGCCCTACAAGAGCTCCTGAAGGAAGCACTAAACATGGAAAGGAAAAACCGGTACCACTCACTGAAAAAACATGCCAAAATGTAAATACCGTCAAGGCTAGGAAGAAACCGCATCAACTAACGAGCAAAATAACCAGCTAACATCATAATGACAGGACCAAATTCACACATAACAATATTAACTTTAAATGTAAATGGGCTAAATGCTCCAATTAAAAGACACAGACTGGCAAATTGGATAAAGACTCAAGACCCATCAGAGTGCTGTATTCAGGAAACCCATCTCACATGCAGAGACACACATAGGCTCAAAATAAAGGGATGGAGGAAGATCTACCAAGTAAATGGAAAACAAAAAAAGGCAGGAGTTGCAATCCTAGTCTCTGATAAAACAGACTTTAAACCAACACAGATCAAAAGAGACAAAGAAGGCCATTACATAATGGTAAAGGGATCAATTCAACAAGAAGAGCTAACTATCCTAAATATATATGCACCCAATACAGGAGCACCCAGATTCATAAAGCAAGTCCTTAATGACCTACAAAGAGACTTAGACTCCCACACAATAATAATGGGAGACTTTAACACCCCACTGTCAACATTAGACAGATCAACGAGACAGAAAGTCAACAAGGATGCCCAGGAATTGAACTCAGCTCTGCACCAAGCGGACCTAATAGACATCTACAGAACTCTCCACCCCAAATCAACAGAATATACATTTTTTTCAGCACCACACCACATCTATTCCAAAATTGACCACATACTTGGAAGTAAAGCACTCCTCAGCAAATGTAAAAGAACAGAAATTATAACAAACTGTCTCTCAGACCACAGTGCAATCAAACTAGAACTCAGGACTAAGAAACTCACTCAAAACCACTCAACTACATGGAAACTGAACAACCTGCTCCTGAATGACTACTGGGTACATAACGAAATGAAGGCAGGAATAAAGATGTTCTTTGAAACCACTGAGAACAAAGACTCAACATACCGGAATCTCTGGGACACATTCAAAGCAGTGTGTAGACAGAAATTTATAGCACTAAATGCCCACAAGAGAAAGCAGGAAAGATCCAAAATTGACACCCTAACATCACAACTGAAAGAACTAGAAAAGCAAGAGCAAAAACATTCCAAAGCTAGCAGAAGGCAAGAAATAACTAAGGGCAGAACTGAAGGAAATAGAGACACAAAAAACCCTTCAAAAAAGTAATGAAACCAGGAGCTGGTTTTTTGAAAAGATCAACAAAATTGATAGACCGCTAGCAAGACTAATAAAGAAGAAAAGAGAGAAGAATCAATTAGACACAATAAAAAATGATAAAGGGGTTACCACCAACAATCCCACAGAAATACAGACTACCATCAGAGAATACTACAAACACCTCTATGCAAATAAACTAGAAAATCTAGAAGAAATGGATACATTCCTGGACACATACACTCTCCCAAGACTAAACCAGGAAGAAGTTGAATCTCTGAATAGACCAATAACAGGATCTGAAATTGTGGCAATATTCAATAGCTTACCAACCAAAAAGAGTCCAGGACCAGATGGATTCACAGCCAAATTCTACCAGAGGTACAAGGAGGAGTTGATACCATTCTTTCTGAAACTATTCCAATCAATAGAAAAAGAGGGAATCCTCCCTAACTCATTTTATGAGGCCAGCATCATCCTGATACCAAAGCCTGGCAGAGACACAACAAAAAAAGAGAATTTTAGACCAATATCCTTGATGAACATTGATGCAAAAATCCTCAATAAAATACTGGCAAACCAAATCCAGCAGCACATCAAAAAGCTTATCCACCATGATCAAGTGGGCTTCATCCCTGTGAGGCAAGGCTGGTTCAATATACGCAAATCAATAAATGTAATCCAGCACATAAACAGAATCAAAGACAAAAACTACATGATTATCTCAATAGATGCAGAAAAGGCCTTTGATAAAATTCGACAACACTTCATGCTAAAAACTCTCAATAAATTAGGTATTGATGGGACGTATCTCAAAATAATAAGAGCTATCTATGACAAACCCACAGCCAATGTCACACTGAATGGGCAAAAACTGGAAGCATTCCCTTTGAAAACTGGCACAAGACAGGGATGCCCTCTCTCACCACTCCTATTCAACATAGTGTTGGAAGTTCTGGCCAGGGCAATTAAGCAGGAGAAGGAAATAAAGGGTATTCAATTAGGAAAAGAGGAAATCAAATTGTCCCTGTTTGCAGATGACATGATAGCATACCCAGAAAACCCCATCATCTCAGCCCAAAATCTCCTTAAGCTGATAAGGAAATTCAGTAAAGTCTCAGGATACAAAATCAATGTACAAAAATCACAAGCATTCTTATACACCAATAACAGACAAACAGAGAGCCAAATCATGAGTGAACTCCCATGCACAATTGCTTCAAAGAGCATAAATTACCCAGATATCCAACTTACAAGGGATGTGAGGGACCTCTTCAAGGAGAACTACAAACCACTGCTCAATGAAATAAAAGAGGATACAAACAAATGGAAGAACATTCCATGATCATGGGTGGGAAGAAGCAATATCATGAAAATGGCCATACTGCCCAAGGTAATTTATAGATTCAATGCCATCCCCTTCAAGCTACCATGACTTTCTTCACAGAATTGGAAAAAACTACTTTAAAGTTCATATGGAACCAAAAAGAGCCCACATCACCAAGTCAATCTTAAGCCAAAAAAAAACAAAGCCGGAGGCATCACGTTACCTGACTTCAAACTATACTACAAGGCTACAGTAACCAAAACAGCATGGTACTGGTCCCAAAACAGAGATATAGATCAACGGAACAGAACAGAGCCCTCAGAAATAATGCCACGTATCTACAACCATCTGATCTTTGACAAACCTGACAAAAACAAGCAATGGGGAAAGGATTCCCTATTTAATAAATGGTGCTGGGAAAACTGGCTAGCCATATGTAGAATGCTGAACTGGATACCTTCCTTACTCCTTATACAAAAATTAATTCAAGATGGATTAAAGACTTAAATGTTAGACCTAAAACCATAAAAACACTAGAAGAAAACCTAGGCAATACCATTCAGGACATAGGTATGGGCAAGGACTTCATGTCTAAAACACCAAAAGCAATGGCAACAAAAGCGAAAATTGACAAATGCGATCTAATTAAATGAAAGAGCTTCTGCACAGCAGAAGAAACTACCATCAGACTGAACATGAAACCTACAGAATGTGAGAAAATTTTTGCAACCTACTCGTCTGACAAAGGGCTAATATCCAGAATCTACAATGAACTCAAACAAATTTACAAGAAAAAAAAAACAACCCCATCAAAAGTGGGCAAAGGATATGAACAGACACTTCTCAAAAGAAGACATTTATGCAGCCAAAAAACACATGAAGAAATGCTCATCATCACTGGCCATCAGAGAAATGCAAATCAAAACCACAATGAGATACCATCTCACACCAGTTAGAATGGCGATCATTAAAAAGTCAGGAAACAACAGGTGCTGGAGAGGATGTGGAGAAATAGGAACACTTTTACACTGTTGGTGGGACTATAAACTAGTTCATCCATTGTGGAAGTCAGTGTGGCAATTCCTCAGGGATCTAGAACTAGAAATACCATTTGACCCAGCCATCCCATTACTGGGTATGTACCCGAAGGATTATAAATCATGCTGCTATAAAGACACATGCACACGTATGTTTATTGTGACACTATTCACAATAGCAAAGACTTGGAACCAACCCAAATGTCCAACAACGATAGACTGGATTAAGAAAATGTGGCACATATACACCACGGAATACTATGCAGCCATAAAAAACGATGAGTTCATGTCCTTTGTAGAGACATGGATGAAACTGGAAACCATCATTCTCAGCAAACTATCGCAAGGACAAAAAACCAAACACTGCATGTTCTCACTCATAGGTGGGAATTGAACAATGAGAACACATGGACACAGGAAGGGGAATGTCACACTCCGGCGACTGATGCGGGGTGGGTGTAGGGGGGAGGGATAGCATTAGGAGATATACCGAATGCTAAATAACGAGTTAATGGGTGCAGCACACCAACATGGCACATGTATACATATGTAACAAACCTGCACATTGTGCACATGTACCCTAAAACTTACAGTATAATAATAATAAAAATAAATAAATAAAAATAAAAAACCAATACCAAAACCAAATGGAAAAACCAATCAACCAACCAAATAAACAAATAAAAAACAGCAATAAACCAATTTAGGTTGAATAGAAGATAAAAAATAATTAAAGATACTGGGGCTTTCTATTTTCTCGTGGATTAAATTAACTTCTAGGGATACCCAAACTCTGAACTAACATATAGGAGGATTTTTGTGAAACTTAAAGAGTTGTAATTATATTTCTATGGTGTGATGGTGAATTTTAGGTATCAGTCTGACTGGATTAACCAACACCTAGGGAACAGGTGCAGCATTGTTTCTGGGTGAGTCTGAATAACCTACTCAGTCATCTTTCCCAGAACCTATTACCCAAATGAGTGGATCCCAAAATAGTATTAATGTGAGCCTAGATTCCCAAAATTTCTGATCTTGCCATGTCCTCAAATTAATCTAAATGTAAATGAATCACTCACTATTTTATACGTGTTTGACAACCCAAAATATATTATTGACTTAGTTGGGGAACAGTTATTGGGGCTGTTACCTTGACCATTCCACAAAGTTTTGTGGCTGGTGGATAAAGTAGGAGGGATCTTTGGCCTGGTAGAATCCCTTGGCGGGGCTATACTTTCCCAGTAAAGTAGCATTAGTTATGTGAATGTGTTTTTGGAAACACATCATGGAAATAAAGGTAGGGAGATGGATTTCAGCCATGAGGAAAATACTTACACATGTGAAGAGTCAAAAACCTGAAACCACATTGTGAGTTTGTACCTGAAGTAGCTCCACATCTGGTTTATGGCACATTTTCATCAGCTCCTCATACGTTCCTCTTAAAATCTCCCTCCTATGAGCCATTTTGGCTTTACTTAAATGAAGTTGATGAAAAATATCTTTCCCCTTCTTTTTCAGCATCTCCAAATTATGTTTTTCTTCTTCATGATGAAATGCAGGCATCTTCTGATACTCAGCTCTAATAGCTTCTAGCCTTACATTCACATAACCCTGCAGTGATAATGGGTTAGTCAAAAGGGAAATGTATTTATCCATCTCCTATTAAATCTCACTGATTCCTTTTGTCTCTCGAACATCCAATAGTTTAAACCTCAGTCTTGCCAGTTCTTAGAATCCACAAATTTTTTTCCTTTCCTTTCTTTCTGCATAAAGATCAACGTAGATGTATCTGACCAATTACATTAAATTTATTCAAGATAATGTGTTTTCTAAGATAGTTGGAAATAAAATAAAACACAATTTGAATTTCTCTATTCCAACCCATATTTATGGAAAAGTAAGAACAGTTCGTGCTTAAGAGTTGGAGTATGGAGCTATAGTTACTAGAAAGGAAATAATTATTTCTATTTCTGAGATATGCAACAAGTTGCTTAAACTCATTATATGTGAAATGATGTTAGACTAACATGTCCAGCTAAATACATTTCACCCAGCAAAACCTATCCTAATAAGGCTGCATTTATGATTTGGCCATCTTTGTCTCTCTGAATTCATTTCCTTCCATTCTTTTTCTAAGTCACCCCAATCTGAAACATAGATATCTTTGCGGCGCTTCCGGCCTCCAAATATACACAAACTCAAAATTACTGCATATGCTGTTCACTCCAACTAGAATTTTACACACACACACACACAAACAAACACACATATACATATATACACACTCATGGTCCACATATATATACATACACACTTTCATCCTCCCCTTCCTCTTCAAAGCTTTGTTCAATTTGAATTTTTCAGTGAGTCTTTTTTCTGACCACCCTATTTAAAACTCAGGCACTAATCTCCAGTTTCTGGCCTCAGTTATTCTTTTCTATTCCCTGCTTGATTATTCTCCAACAAAGAACCTACCACACTCGAACACATCATGTATTGCACATATTTGCATGTTGACCATTTTTGCCTCTCTCAATGGGATTGTACAATTTGTGAGGACAAAGATGCTTTCTTTCTTCTATATTAGCAAATTTTCTAATTTAATATTCAACATAGAGTAGGTTCTTATGAAATACTTTTCAACACACTAATATTAGCTATCATACCCTCAAAGTATACAACCACAAAGAGAAAATAATTTTTAATATTTTTCTGAAGTCCTCAGAGTTCTCCTTATATTTAGATACTAGTTCCCATATTTCGGGCATGTTTACATGTCTCCCTCAAGACACAAATCCATATTTCTCACCACTTTTCTCACCATAGGTTATGTGTTATTCAATATTAATTAGTTGAGATTCTTAATTTCATGGTTGCCCTAGATTTCCCCTGTCACTCTTTCTGCCTCAAATTTTCCATGCAATTCCAAATACTACTTGTCCACCAGCATTCAGATTAATGCTGACCCAGGCTCAGAAGGTTCACTTGAGCTTTCCATGACTGCCAAATAACTCTTATGCCCAGCATTTATCAAACCAGCACATATAGAATGCTGCAAGATGGCCCAGTTTCTTGTATCTGTTGGCGTATAGCTACAGCTTTGTATGAAAGCAAACCAGCATGCTTTGGGTAACATCAATGGTTTTGTTAGAAATCCTATCTAACAGTCCTACTATTCTACATAAGAAATGAAACCACCTTTTCTCAATGTTTTCTTTTTTTTTTAAATTGACTCCCAGAAACATTACAGTTTGATATCAAGTGCCTACTTTAAGAGTCACCCATTTGCCCACCATAAGTTCCTGGAGAAGGTAGAAGGTAGAGTAGTACAGGACTACCTTCCAGTGGCTGATTCTGGTGGTTTCCAAGTTCAGGTTTCTCTGATTTTCACAGGGTTTTTCCCATAAAGACTGCATTTTCTTTAAAAGCTTCTCCTGCAAAAGAGCCATAAATTGAAGCACCAGTGAAGACAATAAAGTAACATGCAGACCTTTTCATAGGGAGGGGGCCCAGAATGAGAGACAAATAAGTCCCTCGGAATGGCACTTATTCTATTTCCCTTCTTCTTCAAATCTCAGAGGTTTGAAGCTAAGAAAGCCCAAAAGAGAGATGCTTAAAGGGACTCAGAGTTGGCTTTACCCAATCTCCAAGAAAATAGGCTCACAGGAATTTCATGTGTCCTTTATAGAAATAGATATTCAGAGGCATCACTTGTTGCCATACTCAGTGACTTTATTAAGCAGCTCAATGAAAGTTCCGTAAAACCTAAAAAATAAATAAATAAATGAATAAAACAAAAAATAAATAAATGAAAGAAAAATAAAGGAAGTGAGCATCTCTCTTCCTAATTTCCATTTTATTGCTCAAAAGCCTTCATATTTCAAAGAGAAAATATTACGTTTACTACAGGGTTACAAAGTCAACCAGGGGAAGCCAGAGAGAAAAGGGGAAAGTATTTTAGCAGTGAAAAGTGTTGATGATTTCTAGTTTATATTTAAATATATAATTCTGAAAAATGGATGAAACAAACTATTCGGAATGTTTGAACCGTGTAGGCCTCCAGAGAACCTCAACTATAAAAGGCAGATCTCCCTGCCTGGAGCAAGTTTCAACACCCTGGCCTTGAGAAGGAAGCAACAGATGCAGCAGTCTTAAAAATAACCCCACTTTTCCAGACAGTGATTTCAGGAATTTCTGGTGAGGTCTGGAACCCAGAATTTCATTTTTGAATATTCTCCCAGTCTTAAGACTAATGATCCTTACTAATTTGGAGCAATACAAAGAAAGATCCGAATGAATTCTCAGTCAGAGAGACTTTACCATCGTGCTTGAAAATCAGGAACTGTGAATAAGAATGAATTTGAAAAAGAAAATGATAATATTGGAATTAGCAAATGTGTGGGTTAAAGGGCTTCTCATGAAATGTCTTTTAAATAAAAGTGGTGACTTTTATGTATTTTTTTTGGCTGTAGATGTGGTAGCTGTATCTTTCTCCTTGCAGGTATGAGTCCCTGCTGCTGCAAGTGTCTGAGCCTGTGAATCCAGAGCTCAGTGCAGGGCCCATCACTGGACTGCTGGACAGGCTCAGTGGATTCAGAGGTAAGTGTCAGCCCATTGGCAGAATTCCCACAGTGTATTACTTCTTGTTAGAATCATGGGGGTAATATTTTACCCTTCATCAAATCTTTATTTCATTTCAGCAGGAAGTGAACCATATGATGATGCAACCTTTTTACATCCCTGTTTCTATTTATAGTCCAATTTATAACCTGAAGAGTAAAACATAGTGAAAAACAAATATGTTCTGGGCTCACATGGATAGAGTTATATATTGGGTAAATGGAATGACATAAGAAATAAAAAATTGAATAAATGGAACAATGCTCAGAAGGAAGTGTAATAATCCAAGGTTACATAAACATTTACATTTCTTTACTGTATTTCATTTGAATTGTTAAACATATTTCATTGGGGAATAGAGTTCACTGAAGTTTGTTGGAGTATTTGTACTTTCTTACAATAAATACATATTATTGATATAATGTAAAATTTGGACTTAACATGTAAAAAGAAAGAAGAAATTATTATGTAAATAGGAAGTAAAAATGGAAATGATAATTTCAGTTTAGTTACAACATGAAGAGCTACATGTAAAATCTAAAATTCGGTTTCAGTCTAGAGCTAGCAGGGATGTCCGCAAAGTGACTGGTAAAATTTTTTGCAAAAATCTGCCTTAAGTTACAACTTATAATTTGAACATATGGACTTTTATCCAGTTATCTGGAGTGGTGCTTGAGTAAGCTAAAATCTTCTCATTCTTGTCAAAATTGTATCACTAGTATTTAAGAACAAGAAATATTTTAATAATAATGACCTTGATAGCTAAAGGGCATTCAGGGCATAAAATATTTCACTTTTACATTGGAGATTGGATTGAAACAGGCTGGTCTTATATTTGACTCTCAATTTTTAAGTTTTCAATAAATTTTCAATGTCTGTTTTTAGGGTTTTGTTCTACCTATAGAGAATATTAATCATCCTTATAGTTTATTAAATATTGTAGTCACAATTCTCCTGTCCTTGTAACTTCCAATATCTTGGTAAAGTAAACTCTTGGTAGAATAATTTTCCCTAATGAATTCTAATTTCTATTAATTACATGTATCTATATTTTTTTTAAAATTATTTTTGCAGTTGATTTTACTCTGCAGCCTGAAAGAGTCAATAGTCATATCTTCCTGTATGGAGATTTGAGAAGCATGAATGTTGGATGTGACCCTCAAGATGATCCCGATATCACTGCAAAATCTGAATGTTTTCTTGTATTGGGGGGCTCAGGCTTTCACATCTGGCAAATATTATTGGGAGGTGCACGTGGGGGATTCTTGGAATTGGGCTTTTGGTGTCTGTAACAATTATTGGAAAGAGAAGAGACAGAATGACAAGATAGATGGAGAGGAAGGACTCTTTCTTCTTGGATGTGTTAAGGAGGACACTCACTGCAGTCTCTTTACCACCACCCCACTTGTGGTGCAATATGTTCCAAGACCTACCAGCACAGTGGGATTATTCCTGGATTGTGAAGGTAGAACCATGAGCTTTGTTGATGTTGATCAAAGTTCCCTGATATACACCATCCCTAATTGCTCCTGCTCACCTCCACTCATGGCCTATCTTTTGCTGTAGTCACTTCTGACCAGAGAAAAGTCAGAAATGGGTCTATATGCTCTGGGAACCTGTTTATCCCAGAAAGCCCTGTTTTTCGCACCTCATCAAACAGGACAAATAAGTTATATTTAATGTCCTTAGTTGCATTCTAATGTCATCAAAACTCATTTATAGTGTTTCTATTAAATATGGTGAAAACACTGCAACCATGTGTATTGGTTCCTTTTTAAATCATTTTTGGAAAATCATTACCCATGATGTATGGCATAGACTATATTCTCTGGTTTTTAATTATTTCTGAATGTCACAAAGTGAAATAATAGATGACAGAGTTGTCTAAATGAAGTTAAAATCAATGGAAGAGAGTAGAGATCTTGGGCTTCATGAAATAGTTTGGAGTAAAAAGACTCAATGGTAACCTGCAAATATTTTCTTTCTCTTCATCTAACAATATTATACTTATCCATGTGTTTATTTGTGAACCTATATTTTGAGGTAATTTTATTTGACCTCCTATGCTGTGCTTATCTTTGTAAATCTCATCTTATATACAAAATGCTCATGCATTATTAGAGTGCTATTCTACAGTGAAATTTACAAGGGGATCAGGACAATGCTGGATCAATTTAATATTCAAATGGACAAAACTGAATACTGACACCTACCTCAAACCATACACAGTGCATTTCCACATGGATTCATGTTCTGAAGGTGAAGGGAACACAATAAAATATTCTCACACAGAAAGATTTCCTAACCAGGACAAAAAAGGAACAATTAAGAAGAAAAATGTAGTTACTTTATATCAAAAATGATGACTTCTGTGTTTCAAAATATACCATCCAAGAATTAAAATGCAAACCAAGAGTGGAGAAAAATATTTATCCCAACATATATGCAATAAAATACAATAAAGGTGATTAATGAAGGTAATAAATAAAAGAAAATGAACCCAATATAATATTGGGAAAATATTTGAACAGGAACTTCATAAAATTGGAGGCATGAATATCTGGACAAATATGAAAAAGGGATTACTTTTATTAGTCCTCAGAATAATAAAAATTAATCCATAAGTTGAACCACAGGCCTCCATAAAAAGTAGCAAAATGTAAAAACACATAATATTGTGTGTTGTGAAAGATAAAGAATCAATGAAAGTAATTCATGCCTGGAGGGATGTAAGCTGAAATACTTTTTGGCGAACTGACTATGAGCATTCCTTATGGGCTAGATATTCTAATTCTAAAATATATTCCTCAGACTGCCTATGTGTATTTCAAGATAAACACAATGTTGATCATTGCAGCAATTTTTATAGTAGCTCAAATTGGAGACAAAATAAATATTCAACAACAGTAGAATTGCTAAATAAATTGTGATCTCATCGTACAAAATAATTTTACAAAACAGAGATAACACTGAAATGCAACAAATTAATGAATCTCAAAGAGAAGTTAAGAAAAGAATTGAAACACACAAATGTTATATTACAGTGTTTTATTTAGATAAATTGTGAACTCCATTAATTGATGCTAGAAGTTAGAATATTGCATAAAGTTTTGGAAGGTAATGGTTATGAAACTTAAAAATTAACCAGGATAAGATGCAGGAAGCATTGAAATCAATGAGAGAAACTATAAGCATTTTTCATGCAGAAGAGAATTATATATATATATGTATGTATTAAGTATTTTAACGTATATAATAAGTTTGAAATAAATTAATTTGATGTTTTGCCTAATTTTTCAAATGCATATACATATAATTTAATTTATGATAATTTAACATCAACATTAAGACATAACACTTTTTTTATTATTATACTTTAAGTTCTGGGGTACATGTGCAGAACGTTCAGGTTTGTTACATAGGTTTACACGCACCACGGTGGTTTGCTGCACCCATCAACCCGTCATCTACATAAGGTAGTTATCCCAAGGATATCCCTCCCCTGGACCCCCACCCCAGACAGGCCCCAGTGTGTGATGTTCTCCTCCCTGTGTACTTGTGTTCTCATTGTTCAACTCCCACTTACGAGTGAGAACATGCGGTGTTTGGTTTTCTGTTGTTGTGTTAATTTGCTGAGAATGATGGTTTCCAGCTTCATCCATGACCCTGCAAAGGACATGAACTCATCCTTTTTATGGCTACATAGTATTCCACGGTGTATATGTGCCACATACATTTGTTTTAAAGTCTGTGAAGAGATTCAGAGAATATCACATTTTAAGAACTGTGTTTACCTCCCCATCTCCCCTGTGTAACAAAACTTAAAAGTACAAAGGGAAATATAAGGAATGCCATTGCCCTTGGGATGCTGGTAACACTAATTGAACTTTGGAAAGGGGAAAAAGAAAAAATAGGAAAAAAATATGTGGAGGATTTAGACCTACATCTGAAGGTTGGACAGGATCATTAAGAAGGTTCCAACCATGAAGACCCAGAAACAGTGTCAACCTGTGACTGAGCTTCATCAGAATGACAGAAAATGCTTCTCCATCCTCATCACCACCCCAACTAGGCAAAAAATTGTTGAGTAACAGGTCAAAGCAGTGCCTTCTGGGGGACTGAGCGGAATTTGGAGGGAAACTTAAAGTTGAGGATACAGCAGATACTGAGAAAAGCTGCTGAACCAGTCCAGTCTGAAACACAAAGTAATGCTAGATGAGCAGGAAATCTATGGTGCACTGGAATTAACTCTAAGAAGAACAAGTCTCAAAACCAAATCAACTCCTGACTAGATTGATTCAACCTTCTCTCTCAAAACACACACATACAGCCTAGTAAAAGGGAACACATGCGGGTTTTGCTTTCTATATTAATCTACTCTACATAGTTCACTTTTTGAGTAAAACTTACCAGACATATACAGAAACAGAAAAGATACATAAAGGAAACACTGTTAAGAGAAAAAGCAATTAATAAAGCCAGATTCAAATGTGGCAGAGGTGTTGGAATTATCTTTCAAGTAGATCTCATGGGTGCTGTTCTAGAAGCCCTTAGTAGGGTATAAAGCCCCCCTTTTTTTTTATTATACTTATGTGACAAGATCTTCCTTTTATCCTCTTATGTAAAAGGTATTTCCAATCCATATTCATCTCTGTATTGGCAGTCACATTTTTGACACTTTACAAATATTAGTCCACTGTCTTATACTTACATTTATGATTATGGAGCAGTCTGTTGTCATTCTATTAAGTGTTCCCTCAAAATGAAACAGTTCATTTTGGCTGCTTTAAAGAGATTCTTCATCTTTGGTGGTGGTTTCAAGCTTAAACACATCATAATGAATCAGCCAACAAAGACAGAGAAATACTAAATATCAGCCAAAATATATTGTTTTACACATTCAAAACAAAGTAAATTTATGTTTTATACATCCAAAATGGGGATTGTTTGGCTTCCTGAATTCCATTCATTTGCTTACTCTGAAAAAATTATCAAACATTATACCCTTGAATATGTACTCTCCTCATCTTCTCTACTTAGCTCTACTGTGTGCTACAGTCAATCACACATTATGCTGTCTATAAAGGACATACATGATACTCTCATCCTCCTTATGTCACTATCACTCTCCTAGTTTACCTCTATTTGTCCATCTGTGAAGCCTTCATGACATATCTTTATATCTATTATCCAATTCACACTTTCTGCAGCTTCATTTCACTTGCTAAACAGTTTTCACTAAACAGCAAATTTTACTTATTTCACTTCTACCAATATAAATTAGAACTTATATGGTAAAAGAATTTCTTAAATGACTGCCAAATGTGAAAAAATTCATGTATATATTATATATATTTACATATGTATGTGTTATATAGACGTACACAAAATTGCTATTGGTAACGGCGGTTTTCACAGGAGTCTATAACTACTGAAGATTTTATTTTTCCTAAAAGATATAATATTTCCTTAAAGATATTCTGTTTCTTAATTTATAATAAAGACAATTCTTATGTTTTTATCAGCAACATAAATTAATAGGCTGGGTGCAGTGGCTCACGTCTGTAATTTCGGCTCTGTGAGAAAATGAGGCAAAAGAATCACTTGAGTCTAGCAGTTTAAGGCTGCTGTGAGCTGTGATTGCACCATTGCACTCCAGCCTAGGCTACAGAACCAGAATATATATATATATGTGTGTGTGTGTGTGTGTGTATATATATATATATGTGTGTGTGTGTATCTATACATAATATATATAAAATACATATTATTATATATTATAGATAAAATACATACATTATATATTATATATGTATAAAATATATTACATATATATAAATTGACAGTACTACATTAAAACCTGAAATCAAGCTTCAAAAGCAACACCTAAGTGCATTTCCAGTCTAGTTCAGTGACTATTAGAATTAAAGCCAACTTCAGGCAAAACATTTCCAAAAACAGAAAAAAATAAAGCAAAAAGAAAAGGGAGAAAAACTATTCCAGACTTTTGAAGACATTTCTTAAAATCATAAATTGATGGTATCCTCTTTCTCATCTTTTGATGAGTAAAATATTAAAGAACTCCAAAAATTATCTACAAGTTTGGTATTTGAGGGTTCATTTGTTGTAAACTCAGTGGTTCTTGATAAGAGGAAGTTTAAAGTTTGTTTAGGGAGATTAGCCAAGGTGTTGAATCCATCATTTCCTCTCTTCTGGTGAAACCTAATCAAGAACCCTAATGGCTATCTCAAACTCCAAGAAATGGACAACCTGTTTGAAATGGGTGTGATTTTTCAGAGATTCAATATAAAGAGGTACAAGTAGCCAAGCTCATTCTTTTCTGGGACACACAGAGTGGCTTGGAACTGGCTGTGAAGATGTCTGAAAGCTACTACCACTATATGGTGGGGCCCTGATCCCTGATCAGACTTTATAGTACTACTTCTACAGCAAGTTTCAGTGAGACCATAAGTATATTTCTAGGGTGAGAACACAACAAACAGAGGAGGAGTTCCTGCTACTTTTCCAATCCAAAACAGACTGCCCTATGTTTAATTTTTCAACAAACTGAGCTTGTTACTATAAGTGATGTCATTTGCTTACTTAGTAAAAATGTTTTTACTCTTATTTTGTCATCCTGTCTTCCTACATACTTGTGAAATACAGTGAAGATTAATTTTACTTGTAACATTTATGTATTCCTTAGTTGTTCCTATGTATTCTAAGAACACAGAAAATAGTTTTCAGATATCTTGCAATTTCATACTTGTTGTATATCCTAAATTTTATTGAGAATATTTTATTTTGTATGTTGTACACAAATGTAATACCCTCTGTTCTAAAGTTGGCACATAAATATATGCACAAGACAGAATATTCTATAATATACAACTTAGGTAATATGTTGAATAATTTGAGGATAATATTGTTTTAGAGTATACTAAATGCCTCTTCTGCATTTCTGGGTGAAATCTGATCAAATCTCACAATGTTCAGTGAATAAATAATGGTTATTTAGAAATCACTTTTCAGTGGTGGATAGTGATTGAGATTTTTTGAAATGCTTTAAAGGAGAAAATTATGACATCTAAATGAAACAATGAGAGTAAAATTGCAGTTAAATACCATTTCCTAAACCAATTATTTTTTTCTTTTGTACGGAATCAATCTTTTCTAATCCAATCACAATGAGCATTAAGAATGGTTTTCAGAGTATTCAGGACCCATCATCTAATGGTGTAATTTGGTCTCAATTTCATACTCTTGAACCTGAAGTTTTTTGGAGTAAAGTCAAAACTCAACTAAACTGAGGTTTCTTTTCTTTTCTTTCTTTCTTTCTTCCTTTTTTCTCTCTCTTTCTCTCTCTCTCTCTCATTCTCTCATTTTTCTTTCTTTCTTTCTTCTTGCTTTAATGCCTAGGCTGAAGAGCAGTGGCTCAATCTCAGCTGACTGCAACTTCAGGGTTCAAGCCATTCTCCTGCCCCGTCTTCTAAGTTTCTGGGATTACAGGTATGTGCCACCACTCCTGGCTGATTTTTGTGTTTTTAGTAGAGGCAGAGTTTCCCCATATTGGCCAAGCTGGTCTCCAACCTGATCTACCAGCCTTGGCATCCCAAAATGCTGGGATTACAGGTGTGAGCCATCACACCTGGCCTCTCTGAGGTACATTTTTCTATGCAAAAGAAAATGGTAGGATGAGGATGTAGTGCCCTGTGAGTTGTGCATGAACCCAACAATTTTACCTAGAGATCCAAGGGCTCTCTTTGTGCCTCAGGTTCTATTTTTGTCTTATTCAAACTAAAGCCTGTTCTACTCTAGACAGAAGTTTAGCACTGAGTCACAACCTGAGTCAAATTTTGCTTTGGTCTTTGTTTCTCCAAGGCATAAGATGAAGTTTTAATCATATGTTTCCTAATTTCCTTCCTTCAGGAAAATGGTCTCAGACATCACACAAGCCTTCCAGAAAGAACCCATCTGCCTCTTCTGTCTGAACTAACTCGTAGACCCCATCACCACAGGCTGTGGCCCCAGCTTCTGTAGGCCCTGTCTCTGCCTTTCCCGGGAAGAAGCCAAAATTCCTACCGGCTGCCCACATGCGGGGAACTGTCACAGCAGGAGGACGTCAAAACTAATATTTTTCTGAAGAATCCAGTGTGCATTGTCATAAAAGCCAGTCTCTGGCAATTCCTGAGCTCTAATGAACAAATGTGTGGGATCCACAGGGAGAAAAAATGATATTTGGAGCGGTGGATAAGAGCCTGCTTCATTTGCTGTTCTGGAACACTCAGGAGCACGGGGCTCACACACACTGTGAGGGGCAACTAAGGAACACTGGGCAAGTGATAGCTCTGAGAGCACTTTGTAAGCTGGAGGATGGCACAGGTAAAGAGATTAGGGGGAAGATGAAGAGCATGAGATTATTCTGTTCTGTACTGGATGTCATGTAGTGCCTAGGTATCAATGATAGAAATTTAAATGGAATCTGTGAGAATACCTTCCTTCCTGGAACTTACCTTTCACTGAGGGAGTGATGAAGTTAATAATCATTATAATAATTTGACTATTTAGTTTAGTGTTCAGGGCACTGTAAAGAGCTCAATATCAGAAAGAGTTTTTGGCTATCTAAACTACAAGTTCAAAAGCCTTCTATATAGGAAACCTATTTACCAACACTGGAAATAATAGAATAAAATATGCTAGAATTAGCAAGGCACGGTGTCAGTAGATTCCAATTCTGATGCAAGATGCCACATTATCTGTAAATTAGCCCTGCTTATGATTTTCCTATTAAACTGGTTGTGTTGCATGTTGCAGTTCTACAGTCTGAGATCTTCCCAAATCTCTTTCATATCTCATCCCTTGATTTCCTTATCAATGGGGGTCTGACAACCAAAAGCCATTTGTTTCTCTGATGTTCAAATTCATAGTTCTTTTATAGGAGATGATAATGAAGCAAATGAGATCTTTTTGGGAAAAAATTCAAGAAAACCAAAGAAAGTTAAATAAGGAGAGCAGGAAAACCAACCAGTGGATTGTAAGTATTAGGCCTTTTCCCTCAGATTCAGCCTCAGACAGACATGCTGCAAATTTATCCACTTACCACTTGAGCGGAAATCATCTTGGTTAGGATTTGAGGAAGATTTTTTCTCATGGCTTCCAATCCTGAGGGTACAATGCAGCATTGATTACTGCTCAGAGAGAGTGGTCAGAGTATGGAGTAGGGAGGTTTGGTACTAAAGACTAATTTAAAAACTTAATACTGCAAAAAATTATCTGTGAACCACCATAAATTCCAATGACTCTCATGTAGGTTGTCTGATATCAAAGGGTGTATATTGAAGAAATGATGAATAATAACCTTTATTCGGGTGTTTTAGGAAGTCATATAATCAATAAAAGAGGTTGAAGAAAAGAATGAATTTGGCTTCTAGTATTGTTAAGACACAATAAAAATAAATGAAAGAAAGGGATTAATGATTGATTTCATGGTTCTGAGAAGTAGGAAGACATGGGTTTATGTATATAGCTTATTGGTAGGCTATATCAGTCAGTCTAGGCTCAGTGGCTCAAGTTCGTAATCCCTATGATTTGGGACTGTTACATCAGGAAAGGGTTTTAAAGACGAATTTCCCTTGAATGATGATTTGTTTTTCAATCCTGTGATTAAATATTTGGTATTAGAAAGCTCAGTTGTATTTTCCTCTTTAAAGGAGTGAGTCAGAGCAGTGGCACATGCCCCAGTGTGTGAGCTCAGAGCTCACAGCTCAACCCATCAGTCGCTAATGGACAGATTTCATGACTTCCAGGTGAGTGTCAACCTGCTGACGTGATGACCACACAGTGTCCTTCAGGCATTGCTGGCTTTCTTTTTCTTTCTTTCTTTCTTTCTTTCTTTCTTTCTTTCTTTCTTTCTTTCTTTCTTTCTTTCTTTCTTCTTTCTTTCTTTGTTTCTTTCTTTCTATTTCTTTCTTTCTATTTCTTTCTTTCTTTCTTTCTTTCTTTCTTTCTTTCTTCTCTCTCTCTCTTTCTTTCTTTCTTTCTTTCTTTCTTTCTTTCTTTCTTTCTTTCTTTCTTTCTTTGTCTCTCTCTCTCTCCCCTCACTCTCTCTCCTCCCTCTCTCTCTCCCTCCCTCCCTCTCTCTCACTTTCACCAATGCTGGAGGGCAATGGTGCAATTTCGGCTCACTGCAACCTCCACCTCCCAGGTTCAAGAGATTCTCCTGTCTCAGCCACCGAAGTAATTGGAATAACAGGCACCTGCCATCAAGCCCACATAATTTTTTTTTTTTTTTATATTTTGTGGAGCTGGGGTTTCGCCATGTTGTCCAGGCTGGTCTTGAACTCCTGACCTCAGGTGATTTGCACATCGTGGCCTCCCAAAGTGCTGGGATTACAGGCATGAGCCACCACTCTTGGCCTCAGGCACGGTTTTACTACAGGCAATTTTTTGTTCTTTATTAATCTTTCATCTAATAAAAGGGAACAGACTGTAAATAGCATTTATAAGCATACTTAGCAATACAGTTCTTATGATGTTATGGAAAAAATTAATGAAAGCTGTTGTAATGGTAAATGTCATTTGGTTTCCTCTTGGGTCTGGGCTTTTTGGGACTGGGTCCCTCTGTGTAGCCAAGTCAAGTCAGATGGAGAGAGATGGTCCACACCTGGCCAAATGGGTTCTACATGAGCCTTCTGGGTCAACACTGCCTTTCAATAAAGACCTGGGCTGTGATGACTCCAGCTGTGTTCTTCACCACAGTGGGCGGAGTGCTCATACTGGGTCCTTGGGCCATGGGAGACCCCATTATATACATTGAACAACATGCCATCAAAGCATTTCCCATCAGACACGGCCTGGGGTCCATAACAAGCTACAGCAGCATCATAACCTTTGCCAGCACGAAGCCCGGTGTCCTTTCAGTTTATCTGTGTGTATGAGTAAACACACTTACACTCACCTGTGCATACCCTCACACCATAGTGTACACTGTCCACAGTGGCACCGCCTGCTACTGAGGGCCGTGCCTTTTATCAAGTCTTATTTCAAGCTGGCTCAGCATGAGGAAATTGTGTATGCAACACTGACTTTCAACTGAGTCACTCAAAAATTAGTAAAATCATTTCAGGTAGTGTGTGTTTTTCTTTTTCCTGCTCTCAAAAACAACCTCCAGAGGAGTTTTTTTAGCCACTTATTGAAAATATTAATGAAGGAACCTGGGAGTGCGGGGGCACAGAAACAAGCAGTTGATTTAAGTCATTCCAATGCCTAAGCAATTTCCAAATGCACTGAGAGGTGAGGAGGGGAAGATGCAAAGGGTGCCTTGGGAAGAACTGCTTTTGCGGTAAGCCCTTGGCGGCTCCCAGCATGCCCGCTGCGATGGCATCCACCCCACTACAGTCGTCGTCATCAAGGTGACTTTGTTGTTTTAGAAGGATCTGTTGTGGTCAGGGTTCCACCTGTCCTTCCCTAGACCATGGCCCTCCAGGCAGTTCTTGCAGGTCCCAGCGAAAAGGTAATGGGGTAGAAACCAAGGACCAGGCCCACAGAAACAGGGACCCCAGGGGCTTCCAAGGGGGAGTGCTGACTGCCAGGTGCAGAATCCATAGAACTACCTACCATGGGACCCAGAGGGACCTGCGCAAATCCCTGGGGAGTGTGTTAGAATTTCCCCAAATACTGTAAAAGAGAAAAGTGCTCATACTTTATCACGTGAAAGACTAATGATGTCTAGGAGCTGACACAGCACAGGAGGACTCTGACCACCGCAGGACCAGCGAGATGTGTCAGGACAGAAATGAGCAAGCTTGAGTCTCCGGGCACACCTGGGGAAAGAATAATGCAAGGCACACATCAGGGCTGTGACTCACTCCTCAAAGTAGGCTTGGGTCCCCAGGGTAAGAGGGAAGAGACAGCATTCCCACATCATGTAGTGTGGATGGCAGGGCTGCAGGGGATGTAGTCCTTTCGCCGGTGGACTGCCAGAGACCTGGCAGCCAGACCCACTTCTTAGTGACGGCACATTCATTTCCTCTCTGGGATGCATTTTATCATATTCCCTTTGTACCCACGATTCTTCCTGACAGCCTGAAACAGCAGGCTTTGCATCCTTTTCAGGCCTGGGGTCTGGCCTTACCCCAGGGGCTTCTGTTTCACCCACAACAGACTCGCCTCCACACTGGAGACCTTGTCACTGCTGACAGCAGGGGGAGAAGAAGGCAGAGGAGTCCAGCACGGCCCTACTGCATTCATAAATCCTATTTTGCAACGAACATCACGAACTCCCTGTCTCCTGCTCCCAGGAGGAGCCCCGGGTCTCAGGAGTGGTCAATGCTGAGACGACAAAGCTGTTGAAATTCTGATCTCCATAGTCTTGAGGTCTCTAGTGTTGCCAGGAAACTGTCAGGAGGAGCTCCAGAAGAAAGAGGCACAGGATGTTTCACACTGCTTTTCCCAAGTGCAGCCAAGGGACAGCCTCTGCACACCGAGGTAATTCTAGATGATTGGCTGCACGCTCTTCCCTCCTGCTTTCTAGTGAGTTTAGTGCTGGCTGACTGTAGAACACTTTATTCACATAAGCAAGTAGAAAAAATTGTCACTCTTAATTCACATGCTCCAATGTCAGACCAGGAGTGACCGGTTCTGGAGGGAAGTGCCAGGACTGGCTCATTTGTGTTCTCATCAGGTGCCTCCATGCACATGGAGGTGGATTTCACTGGTGTTGATACATGCTTTCACATCCACAAGAGGCTCTCCGAGGGACAGAAGTGACTTCACACCCACCGCAAAGCCATTTCTGCTTCCAGAGTCCCCAATCTCCAATCACCAAAAAAATTCTCCACCAAGGGGCGAGCTCCACCCATCTCACTTGTAATCAGTAGCATCGCCATTGTCTGAGAAATATTTATTCTGTCCAGTTTAAGCTTAATTTTCACAAACACTAAAAAGTAGTAAAATAGACTATAGCTTTTCCTTTAACTATATTTATATATAAATCCCTGAGAAGGTAGCTGTCAACTTGAAATTCACTATCTACAGTTAACTAACATCAGGGTGCAGGGAGGGACCCTGAGCCGCATCCCTGTGCACAGCAGGGGCTGGGCTGTCATTGCAAGAGAGCAAACCTGGTCTCCCTCCTGAGCAAAGAGGAGGGGGTGGGAGGGGCACGGCGGTGTAGGAATTCTTAGCCATCAGCACAGATGCTGGCAGGCCTGCTGTTCACTCACTCTGGGGGTCTGGAGGTCCCACCATGATAACACCACATTGCCTCACAGAGGCCCCTGCTTTTCTGTCCTGGGCAAACCTCAGGGTAGGTGGTGCCAGAGATGATAAAGAACTTAACCAACTGGGAGAAGAAAACAGGCAAAGGAAGGAAGGGTGAATGAGGAAGAAGAGATGAGGCAACAGGGGTGGGAGAACGTGGTGATAAAGCCGGTGGGGACAGTGTGGTGGCAACTGACAGAAGAGGAGAAGGGGGTCCATGTTCATCAGTCCCCTCCTTCCTGAACAACATGAGGGGTGCAGTGAGGGCAAGCCCTCAGTGAGTGAATGCAGAAGTTCAAAGAAACAAAAATAGACAAAAAAAATCAATGTTCTCCTAGGACACCAGGTTTTTAGAGAGGCCACTGTGAGACCTGTGAATACCCGATGCCCAATAGTGCTGAGTGGGTAAGTGACAAGAAGCCTGCACCCCCTCAGCCATGTGCACCTCCTGAGACCGAGGAGCCTGTGTCACCAGTACCTAGGGCTAGAAGAAAGGGCTTCCAAATGGCTCAGGAAGATGAGTGGGCATTTCACTCCACCTCTGGGACCAGATGACCACACTTCCCCCGAGGAATCCCTTACCCAAAATAATTGAACAAAATAATGTTGCTTAAATATAAACTGGCTCATCTGATCACCCCGACACTGACCCCAGGACACCCCCCTCAAGGTGGCTCCAGTTCTCCATTATCTAGGCTTTTCTCCCTGCTCTCCCACACTCCCTGAGCCTGGCTGGAGGCCGGCTCACGCCCTCTGCTGCCCATTCCAAAGAGAATAAGAAACCAAGAGCCTGGGCTCGCCATAGGTCGAGGAAAGAGGCTTGGTGACACTTCCTTTGACTTGGAAAATTCCTCTACTAGCAAATCTACTTCCACAAGGCAAAAATAAGAAGTGCTGGGCCAGTAGCCAGGCACACAGCTGCAGAAGCTACCTGGACCTGCCTCATGGGACAAAGGGAAGGGCTGCCCACAGGCAAGCCACGTCTAGAGTGAGCCCAGAGAGACCAGGGAGAGTCTGGGATCCAATCAGGGATGACCCTTCTTTCAGTTGGGTCTGGTGGGTTTTCAAAATCCAGTCTTTCCACTGGGGCCATACCAAAGCTGCAGGGGAGGTCAGGCTTCCCAGTCCCACCAGAAACCCCCCCGTGAAGTTGTCATTGTCTCTCAAGTTGCATACACTGGCCAGGTAAAGGCAGCTTCTACTCACCAGGCAAGTGGCCAGCTCACCTTCAGATTTGCCAAAGCAATCTGGGTCCTGCCCCATACTTGCTGGCCTGGCAGGCTTTTCAAAATGCAGGTATCTCTGGAGCTGTTTTGTGGACACCAGGAGCATTACTTGACAAGACCTGTGCTGGCCCCAGGGTACCCTGTGCACCTGGGTAAGGCTGGAACACATTGGGAACAGGGACCTAACATGCCCACTCCAGAACAGCATGGGACCTGGGGAAATCGCCATTTGTTTGCTGTCCTGCCATTGCTGTTCTACACATCCCTGGAGATTATGAGCATCGGTTACAGTGTGGTAATGGCTGGTCAGGACTAGAAATGTCCATTGTTGACCTGGAAGCAGCAGACACCCAAGGCTTACTGTAGAATTGGGGGCTCCATACCATTCCCAGTGTTAACTTCCCATGGCGGAAACAGGAAGGAATGTCTGGCAACCCACCAAGGGTCAGATGCCACATCAGCCCGAGCAAAGCTGCCAGACACTGGCTCTTCCAATGACAATTAGACATTCTTGGGAAGGTGGAGCCATTCGTGAGAGCTCAGGATGGGTGTCCTGGAAGTGCCACTTAAAGGCGACTGAGGCCTCTCAAAATCCTTGTGTTAGAGCCACAGCTCTCCGTGTGGGCTGCAGTGCAGTCACCTATGGAGTTTTAGGACAGGCCCAGGGCTCAGCTCCCTGGACCAGTGCCTTCAAAACTTTCTCAGCAGGGATAGCCGGCTTGGAAAGGCATGCCTGGGAGACCATGTGACACTGCCTGGCTGGGTCCTGGGCTGACAGAGGTGAGCGTGGAGCTCGCGGTGACTTGGTAATGCTGTGAATTATGTACACGTGGCAGGAAGGTGCCACAATGCCAAGGCCCCACGTCTTGGAAATTCCATGAGGTCCACATGAGGTTGAATTGAACACCAAGTGCAGTCCTCAAAGGAAAAATAAAAGAAATACCCACATAAGGGACTCTTTGGAACTGAGTCTGCAAGAGAGGGCTGTCTGGTCCACTCCAGGAGAATTTGCCTAAAATAAGTTTGCTTCCCATTATATTCTCTTTGCTTGTTCTAAACATCACCTCCCCCCATTCCTTTAATTTGCATCTTACTCTTGTTGCATCCTTTTTTTACATTTGAAGGATGTCTGGATTCGATTTACTTAAGAGCATATATGGCTTAATTTTGTATTTCTGGTAATCATCTATTACATTTCCCCCATTTTATCAAATGACACTTTTCCCTCATATCTATTTAGAATATGTTAAAGATTTTCTATCCAGCTTATCCAAAACTCCTTGATTAAAAAGAATTTAATTCTAGCAATACATACATGCTTATCTCTGCATTCTTTTATAATTTGATGATAAATGCTTTTCCCCAGTATATGACTGTATGGATAATACTTTTTAAAAAGATACAATAAAATATGATATCTCTTTCTCACTTGATCATGTGGCTGAATGAGTCAATCCATCCATCAAACAGAAATATCCAGTGTCACTTAATCTAATTAATAAAAACATCCAGTGTGCATGTGCACCAACAATAAGAAGAAAAGACCAAACAGCCAAAAAGGAGGGAATCCCATGATTTCTGTGTAAACTCCTACAGATATCATACACATTTATTGCTAGAAACAGTATTTTAAATAAAAGGTCTTCAGGCAAGTGCATTAAAACTGCCTTGGATACAAGGGGCACTATCACTTGTAAAACTTGGCAAATTGGATAACAATTAAAAATACAAAATCACACAGAAAATACTCTTTAATAAATTGAGGTTTTTTTTTATTGAGACGGAGGTTGGCTCTTGTTGCCCAGGCCGGAGTGCAATGGCGCGATCTTGGCTCCCTGCCACCTCTGCCTCCTGGGTTCAAGCGATTCTCCTGCCTCAGCCTCCCGAGTAGCTGAGATTACAGGCATGTGCCACCATGCTCGGCTAATTTTGTATTTTTAGTAGAGACGGGGTTTCTCCATGTTGGTCAGGCTACTCTCAGACTCCCAACCTCAGGTGATTCGCCCGCCTCGGCCTCCCAAAGTGCTGGGATTACAGGCGTGAGCCACCGCGCCCGGCCTAATAAATTGATCTTTAAAAACATCTTAATTGAGCTTCTCTAAAGGGAGCTTTTTAGGCAACATGCCCGCTAGGTGTACTGATTGCTAGGGTGGCTGGTGTCAGGCGAATCGCTGTGGCTCCCCCAGCCCCTTCCTGGGAGCATTCTAGAAAGACAGCGTGGAAACGCGCGCGGCCTGGTGGTCCCGGGAGGGGCCACGGTGCCCAGCCCCGCGGCCTCACGCTGCCCTCGAACCCCGTGTCAAGCACCCGCGGATTCTCACGTCCTCTTCTTCCAGGGCGGCGGGCGCTTCTCCTGCATCTTGGCCTGGCGCTTCTTCTCGGCCTCCTCAGCCTCCGGTTTCTCCTCCGTGGCCACCTTGTAAGGCCACTTGGGTATCCGCAGGTGGCCACTGTCCTTGGTGCTGCCCTTCCGCGCTGGCCTCTGGCGCTGCAAGTTGGGCGCGGGCGCCTTGCTGAGGCGGATCCGGGGCACCACCACGCCGGGCCGCAAGCTGCTCCGCCACAGGCGCTGCAGGGGCAGGAGGCTGGCCTTCCGCGGGGCGGGGTCGGCAGAGCCCCAGGACCCTGGCAGCGGGGCAGGTGGGAGGCCGGCTCTTGGGGAGCCCTCCCGGGAGCCCGCGGCCTCTGGGCAGGGCCGCTTGTGCTGCTCTGCGCCCTCCACTTCGCCCGCCTCCTGCGCCTGCCTCCCCACCCCACGCCGCGTCGCTAGAATTTCCTGAGCCCCCAGGATTTCCTGCACCGCCAGCCGCCTCTTCCCCAGGCACAGGGAGCTCTGGGGGCACACGGTCTGGCACGCGAGGGCCACAGCGGGGCTGTTAGAGGCTGGTGGTCATCCTGACCATGTGGTCCAGGGCGCCCCGGTCCTCCAGGCCACACACGGAGCGCGGCGTCAGCGCGGAAGGCTTGCAGTCCCTGACCATCTGCAGCCAGTTCTTCCAGCCCTCGGGCTTCCCCGCCCTCTGGTGGAGCGGAGGCAGCTAAGCTGGTACTTTTTCCCCAACCGCTGCTGGCAGGGGCGCTCCAGGAGCCTCTGCATGAGGCGGACGTGTAAGTGGCCACTCCTCTGGCGACATCCCACGGCAGGGGCCCTCGAGTGTACACCCGCCCCTGCGAGCTCAGGGCTCGGATGCGATCGGTTCCACCCTGCATGGCTGCTTTCAACCCGAACGCGTCCATCCTTCAAGATCAAGACCCATTCCATAGTTCAACAAGTAGTTGGTGATGATAGAGTGCCCTGACTCGGCCAGAACAGCCTCTTTAGCCAAACAGCGCAGGAAAGTCTTTAAACAGATGCTCAGCTCCTTTCTTCATTTTCACTTTAATTCCATGATGCCTCTGTGTCCCTCTGACGACATCTCTCCTGGGGTCTGGGACTCTGCTGGTCTTCCATGCCTACTGAGAAGGCTTCCTGGCCATCATCAGGCAGGAAAACCTCAAAGCCCTCCGTCCTCAACGTGGGATCCCTGGGCCAGCAGCATCAGCCTCACCAGGAAACCTGTTCTTCTGCTCATTCTTGGGCCCCACCCCAGGCCTATTCAAAGAAAGACTCCAGGGGCAGCGCTTGGCAGCCTGTGTTTCCACCAGATCTGTGTGAAAACTCAAATGAACCAGCCCAGGTGATGCTGACGCAGGAAGTGCAAGGCTGAGAGCCAGTGTCTAAGGCAACTGTGCCCATGGGGCCAGGGGCAGCTCCTGCCTGTGCAGCTATGATTAGGGTTGCGTTCCCCTCCCTGTCCTGCCAGTTGACTTCAATGTGGGGGCACTCAGCTAAGGCCACCACGGTATATCCACAAAGCCGTGGTAGCAGGCGACATCAAGGCCGGTCTAGCCATTGTGGTCAGTCTCCTGCGCCTTCTCAGCGCCCACCCCCCGCCGCACCAACGTCTGCAGCAGCCCCACGCCTCCAGGACGCCCTCCTCCAGGACGCCCTCCTCCAGGACGCTCTCCACACCCTCGAGGCCGTGCTCCTCCTCCTCCTCCTGGAAAGGGTAGAAAGAGTCGTCCCAGGCGATGCTGCGGGTGTCAGGCAGACTGGAGAAGTCCTGGAACTCTTTGTAGTCAGCGCGGTCCTCCTCGACCTGTGTGCCTAGGAGTGGGGACGGCGGTGGCCGGGTCATGCAGCGCGCCCCGCCACCCTGCAGCTGGGTCCCAGCCAGCAGCACCACGCTGGGGGCCGGAGGCGTGGGCGGGGGGCCGAGGCTCTGTCCGGGAAAGTCTAAGTTGTTTCCATATCTTGCTGATTATAAATAATGCTGCAGTTTACGTGGGAATTCAGGTATCTCTTCAAAATACTAACTTCATTTTCCTTTTATTCATTCCACATAGTGGGATTGCTGGATCAGATGGTAGTTTTATCCTTCATGGTGTCTTCCATAATTGCTGTTTCAATTTACATTCCAGTCAACCATGTAAAAGGGTTCCCTTTTCTCCACACTGAAAGTAAGGACGGCATTGTCTTAATTATATGTGGAATCTAAAAAAAGATGTCAAACTCATAAGAGCAGAGAGTAGAATGGCGATTGTGATGGAATGCCGGGACAGAGAAATGAGGAGATGTTGGTCAAAGAGTACAAAGTTTCATTTATGCAGAATGAATAATTCTGGAGAACTAAGTTACAGCATAGAGTCTATACTTGGTAATACCATATTGTATACTTGAAGTTTGCTGAGAAAATGCATCTTAAATATTCTCACCACACACAAAAGGTAATTATGTGAGATGCTGAACGTGTTGATTGTGGTAATCATTTCACAATGTATATATTTACCAAAATATCACACTGTACAACTTAAATATATATTATAGATTTTTGTCACATACACCTCAATAAAGCTATAGAAAATAAAAAACAATGTTTTAAAGATGACAACAAAAGGAGTAACCAACCTGCATGGAACAGCAAAAACAGACAAAACTCTGCAAATGCTGCACTGTCTGCAGAAGGTGGTCTGGAAGCACGAGATTGAAGGAAAAGCCTCCCAGAAGGCAGTATTTTGAGCGGTCAGTCTTGTTTTCCGCTGTATGTGGAAGGAATAATAACCATACTTATGGATCTACACTGAAAATGGACACTGGCTAACAGGTTTAATAAGCTAATGAGGAAATTGGAAATTTAAAAATGGAAAAATGATGACAAAGTAGTTGGAAGAACCATATGTGGATGAATCTCTCAAAAGGAACACCAAATACTACAATGTTAGTTTACAACATAAATGCCCAACAAAAAGAATCTACTGCAGAAGAAGCTTCCAGGAATCTCATGAACATGAACTGCATTTTGGATGTCAGTCAGCCTTTTTCTCAGTTACCTTTGTAGTCACTGTTGCAGAGATGAATACTCTACAAAGCCACAAGGTCTAAAATGCCATCAGCAATGTCCATCATTGACTCTTTAACATGGTACAAGTAGCTAGGGAAACCAGCCAACAACCTTGTGACAGCTTACTTCATTCCAACTCCTCAGTCTGGAGAGGACAGCATTTTTTCATCATATATTCTGGTTACATATTTTTCCTAGCACTTGCCTTATTTATTATTCACGGAGTAGAATCTGTTATCCATTGCCATGGTATCTCATTCATTATCTATCCAGAAGAAAATTTTTAGTAAATAAATTTAAAACATATAACTCATCACAATAGAATTTACTGGTATAACCACAATTGTCATCATCTAGAAGCTGAACAAATGAGACATTGGAATGGCCTCCTAAAAGATGAGTTACGGTGCCAGCTGGACAATCCTAACCTGAGAATGTGAAATGCTCATTTCCACATGTTTGACACACAATATGTGCTCAGTAAGTTTTAGTCATCACATACCTATGCCACATATATTCTGAGAAATTAACCCAATGCTAATAAACATTCCCCCATGCAGCCATCTATTTTGCCTTTTTTGTTCCGATATCCACAAGATGCCTTTACATACGTTCCTCCAATTCTTGTCAGTGCATATTTGATATTCACAATTTGTTAGTCAAATGAAATATTTCCTTGTAGAACAAGGCAATATTTATCACTTGCACTCCAGTGACACCTAAATATTGATCTAGTTGCAAAAAGGGAATTTTCTGGGAAAGGACATGAGGCCTTTGGTGAGGTGGCTTTCTGCAACTTCTACAGATATTGAAAGGGCTAATATCTGAAAGTTGTCTGTGAACAGCGTGCCCAGCAACTGGAAATATATATCCTTCTTTCCTAAAGGAAGGGCAAGGAAGTACATCCTTTTATCTATCACAGCCTACCTATTATGTCACTTGAATCCATTTCTTCATATACACTTGAGAACAGCTTCTTTAAGATTCTCTTCCTGGGGGAAAATTAAAAGAGAAAGGTTAAGGGACAAATATTGTCTCTTGCCACCATGGCTGATCATAGAGTTGCAACTGCTATGTACCATCTTATTCCTTTATTGTCAATTCTATTTCTCCCACTTCACCTTTTACTAGCACCGCTACTGGTCTCATGACTTACTTAAAGGTGTAGCTTAGACCTTCATCTCCAAAATATCTCATCCTGGTACACTATAATCATTCAGAACCTGATTCTTTTCTATTCTCACTTATTATCACAATTAGAAAGGGCATGGCAAGATGTGCCCCTGTCAGTCACCTGGAAGACAAAAATATCATTGCTTACCACCACTGTGTTATAACACCTCCATTCCACATCATAATCAGGTCAATTACCTTGGCTAACGTTGAAAAAAGAACCTTCTCTCAATGGCTACAGATAGCAATTCTTCTTGTGATAGGAGAGCCAGATGAAATCCAATATGTGACACACAGGATACAGTGCAGTGAGCAAAGAAAAACACTCTTTCATTAAATAATTTCATCCTCTTACCATGAAGCTGGACATAAGATTGAATTTTACACTTATGTTAGCCAATAAGTAAATATCCTTATATTTCAAGATAGTTTGAATTGAGTTTTCTATCATATGTAACAAAAACATCTTAAATGAAACATCCTCAATTTAAATATATATAGGAAACTGAAGTAATGTGTAAGTCCTATTATTTATTTACATATGTATATATTTGAAACAGTACTGCCTTTTTATCAATATAACGTTTTAATCTGTCTTATCTAGAATAGCACATTATTCTTTCAAAATTTAATTGCAATATCCATATCTTTATACTTCCAGATAAACATTTAGAATCAAAGAAATATCATGAATAGCTCAGTTTTATGCAGAAAAAAAGGCAAAATAAGTTTATCATTTTTCCCCACAGATATATACTTAGCATACAGCCATAATTTGGTGAAATAAAATTTATACACGAATATAATAAAAATAAATTCATTTTAATTTGATTAATTAATTCATTGATAGCATCATAATAGTTGATTCCCCAGAAGAAGCTTGGAGGACTATGGGAATGACAGTAAATAACACTAGTCTAGTGTAATTGATCTGTCTAGCCAAAATACAGAGTTTGGACTCATCAGGCAAGTTCCTTGGAACAACATCATTCATGACCATCAGAGACATTTTACAAACCTTACCAAATATACCATCTGTATATGGTAACACAAAAGAAATGACAATGACTCCAGGAGATTTATAATGGGAAGTTACTCACACAATGCCATTGGAACCCAATAACCTTAAAGCCCAGTTGTCTACAGAACTGTGGAAGATTAGATGCTTGCAGATGTGTGGTGTCATTTCTGAGGCCCCTGTTCTGTTCCATTGGTCTATGTATCTGTTTTGATACCAGTACCATGCTGTTTTGGTTACTGTAGTTTTATAGTATAGTTTATGTTATTTAACATAACAAAATGAAATATTTTTTTTCTAGAAAAGTACCATATTTCTGACTTGCACTCTAATGATACCTGAACCTAAATGTTAACCTGGACGCAAAGAGGGACTGCTCTGAGAAAGGGCATGAGACCTTTATTGAGGTGGCTTTCTGCAACTTCTAAAGATACCTAAGGGGACATCATCTGAATGCTGTCTACTAACAGCACACCCAACAGCTGGAAAAATAAATCCTTCTTTCCTAAATGAAGGGCAGGGCAGAGGCTCCTCATATATACCATAATATATCCCTTATGCCATGTGAATTTACATATTCTTATATATGATCAGAACAGCTCATTTAGGATTCTCTTACTTGAGGGGAATTAGAAGAGAAAAGCTGAAGGCCAAACTATGTATCTTGCCACTGAAGCTGATCTGAGTTGCAACTACTGTTTACAATCTTCCTCCTTATCAATTTTTTTCCACTTACCTCTGCTAGCATCTCTACTGATCTCATAACTTATTTAACGGGATAGGACAGATTTTCATCCTCAAAATGTTTAGTTTAAAGTTCTTAAGGGACGCACTATTAAATTTTTCTGAAGTCTTTCAAAGATTTATCTTAAGAGTATTATCAGACTGCACATTGAGTTTCAACCCAAGTCAGAGAAAAGCGAATTTCAAAGATATTCGTGAATATGGTGCTTGTATATTCTACAAAGTATTTAAATAAATTACACTAAAGGTGGCACCGTAGTCTTCATTCTGAACAGGAACATCTATTTTAATCACATATTTCTCCAATTCTCCATTCTGCGCTGCACATGTGGAAGAAGACCACACTGGGAAGACCTTGTCTACATCGTTGTTATCTACATGATAGGGGCACTCTTACTCTAATACAGTTAACTTTTTACACAAGAGTGTTTCTACAGAATTTCTCATCTCTGAATTTCTCAATGTGTATATTAAAGGATTCAACATGGGTGTGATAACTGTATAAAACACTGTCAGGAATTTATCAAAAGGATGTTTGAAACAGGTCTAACATACATGAAAATACAGGGAACAAAAAAGAGGGCAAAGACGATAATGTGGGAGCTGCAGGTAAACAGGACTTTATGCCTCCCTTCTTGACTGTAAGTTTTAAGGGAGTTTAGGATGACTCCATAGGAGATTAGTAGAAGGGTGAAGACGACTATACAGATTGTTCCACCATTGACAAAAACAGTAAGGCCAATAAAGTAGGTGTCAGTGCATACCAGTTCCAATAATGGGTACATGTCACAGACAAAGTAGTCAATGACATTGGGGCCACAGAAAGCGAGACTGTATACAACAACAATTTGAAACACAGAATGCAGAAAACCTCCAGTCACGACCACCACCAACAGAAGGATTCAAACCTGTCGATTCATGATGGTCAAATAGTGCAGTGGCTTACAGATGGCCACATAGTGATCACAGGCCATCACCACAAGAAGGAAGACCTCAGAACCACCAAACAAGTGGTATATAAATAACTGGCCCATGCAAGCTGGGAAAGAAATAGTCTTTTTATCACAGAGTAAGTCTACAATCAATTTGGGAGAAATTGTAGTGGAATATGCAGCATCTATAAATGACAGGCAGGCAAGGAAGAAGTACATTGGGGAGCCCAAGGAAGGGCTGGCAATAATAGTCACCACAATGAGCAGGTTCCCCACCACTGTCACCAAGTATGTGAGTAAAAATATGACAAATAATGCTTTTTGCACATCCAGATCCTGAGAGAAGCCCAGGAGGACAAATTCTGTAATATTATTATTCTGTCTCATTTACTTTTCTTTCAGGCTTGCATCAGAGGTGAGAGCTCAGGAGAACAGGACCTGTAATGAAATAGTCAACAGGAATATGATTACATCTATTGTGTCGCACAGCATGTCTTCATTGTTGTATCCTGAATAGTGATTTACACACAATAAACATTTAGTAAGTCTCTATTGAGTTCCTCACCCAAAGAGCCCGTCTTCCCTTGACGACTCTGTTTCTCCTCAAATATTTTAGTTTCAGCCAAAAGGTGAATGCTTCCACTTCTAAGTGTTAGTGAATAATCTATACAGAAGAACAGTTAAAGTCCAAATAACCATTCGTACATTTCACAACTTCTTATTTAAAACATTTTTCTTGGCACAGAAGTCAGCTATGCTGAATAGGCAACAGGTTCTTGGTCTCAAGAAACTTACTCTCTGGTGGTGGTAATAAACTCTAAATAAATATATTGAAATAGATTTAGTCCTTTGTGTTTGTACTTGTGGTATATTTATAATATGATCTGTGTAGCACCAAAAATAACATCTTCTGAAATATATCACTCCGTACTCTGCCCTTCTACTATTAGACATTCATTCCTTCACACCCCAAAGGATATTTAACCTTCATTAGTCTTTCATTAAATGTTAAAACACAGGACTCTGAACTGTAGGAATAGCTATGATATTATTTATCACATTGTTCCCTGTATCAATTACTTGGTCTGACTCCTGGTCCAACTTATAAGGAGCTGTGATTCTCTCCATTTTATCCTTGCCTGTACCCCAATTTTTTCAACACTTACATACAATATCTTAATTTTAATTAATCTGAACTCAAGTTAACTAACTCATGACTATCACCAACTACCAAATATGCCGTGGTTTTCTCATGAATTCTTGAGATAAGCTAGGTAGTGAGAGAAGAGAAAATAGACGATGTAGAAAGAGGTACAGAACAGTTGGACATGGTTTTATTCATAACACTATTTAGACACCAAGAGTACTCAAAAATAGAATCTTAGTTACCAGATTCCAAAAAGAAGCATACTCTAAGAGAAATTCCAAATTCTGTGTAAGAAGGCACGGATTTGAGTCATTTTTTGAACGCATTTACAAGTCTGTCTCAGTTTACTCACCGGAAAACAATGGGATTAAATTTGAGAAATTCAAAATCCTTTCTAGACAACTATCTACAGAACTAGTAGTGCATCTCTCCTTTATGGTATTCTGCTGACAATTTTCTTTTTTTATAAGTATATAATTAAATAAAAATTTTCCAAGCTCATGACTGTTACATGAAAAATGGTAGTCTGTGGGACAATAGGTTTTATTATTACAGTGAGTAGTGACTATAAGCTTCTCACTGAGTATGCACCTATTTAAGATCCAAGACACCCTCAAAGGGAAATTGTAGCATGTTGTGAATAATGTGGACACTGGAGTCACACTTCTTCAGCTACAACCTCATGTTCACCATTTTTATGAGACTTTGGGCCATTTACTAAAGCTCTCTGACCCTTATTTTCATCATTTGTAGAATGGGGATCCCAATAGTCATTACCTCTTAATTGCTTAATTTTCAGCAATTAATTTTGAACTCAAGTGAACTACCTGTTGATTTATAAAAGAAAGTAAAGTGCCTAGAACACTGGCTGGCATCTAGTAAGGACTCAATAAATTATAGTTATTATCAGTGTTCTTGAATGCTTCACTTTGAAGATAGAACAAATCATGTGAATCTTTGTCAACTTGAAAAGATTTATAGAAATAGTTTTGGTTAAAAAGAATAAAACATTTATAATTCAGGAAAACCTTTTGGGGCACACAATAAAATTGTATGTCTTAGTAATTACATATTTAATTATGTATGAGTAGTGATTTTACCTGTAATTAAATATATCTTAATGAGAAGCAAGCAGAATTCTAGTAAAAAAAAGTTGAACTGATCATCAGCAGGAGAGCTAAATGGTAGAAAATGAAAGAAAAAGGGGTCAAATCAGAAAAAAAGAGAGATTATAGTAAATACATTAATATTCACAGGAAATAAGATGATTAGTTTCATAATTAAGTGAGACAAATTAGCTGGGCATGGTGGTATACACCTGCTATCCCAGCTGCTCAAGAGGCTGAGGCATGAGAATCACTTGAACCCAGGAGGCAGAGGTTGCAGTGAGCCAGGATCATGCTACTGTCCTCCAGCTTGGGTGACCGAGTGAGACTATCTCAAAAAAAAAAAAAAAAAAAAAAGTGAGGCTAGTTTTCTGCTAAAAATCTTCTTTAGAAAAATTTATTTTCGTGAGGAAATACTGGAAGCACAACCTCCTGTGGGTCCCTGGGTGACTCAGGAGGCTTTGGGAATAGCATAACAAATAGACACAGACCAGATCCTAGTTAAAAAAAAAAAAAAGGAAAGAAAAGACAATTTAAAAAGAAAAATAAAAACAACATAGATCTCTTAGTATCTCTAGATCTGACAGTTAAGGACAAACTTAAAGAAAAGAGAACAATGCGACAAGTAGAGATACAAACCCAAACTTTGTGATATTCACTGCTGAGGAAAACTGCAGAATTACTAAACCTCAAATGTAGACAAGATGATTCCGTTTACGTAGATCTGACCATGGAGGAGGATGTGTGCAGAGAGAGTTTGAGCTTCCTTAGAAGCCATTTGTGATAAACGTTCCACATGCCTCATTCACATTATCACTTCCAGCTGATTCTAGAGTTCTGTCATTGCTGAAGTTATAGACTA
Source organism: Homo sapiens (assembly GCF_000001405.40). NCBI lineage: Eukaryota > Metazoa > Chordata > Mammalia > Primates > Hominidae > Homo > Homo sapiens. The sequence continues at coordinate 49,901,915 of NC_000011.10, forward strand.
ACAAAGGCACATCTGTTGAAGAACAAAAGGGTATAATAAAACCTATAGCCCAGTCTCTTTTTTTCACATCTTACTCGCTGCAAGATTTAGTTCCTTTTCTCTCTTTAATCATCAATGATAAATTTCACCAGGATAAATCTTCTCTTGGGCAGTTTAGATGTTTACTTGTAAAAACCAGGATATGTAAACTATCCTCTTTAGCTTAAGTCATCAAAGATTTAATACTTTAAAAACTGAAATATAATATTACAAGGCACTCAACATAAATAAGTTAACACTTTTCTAGACAAAAAAAAAACTTAACACAGCTTCCTAAGAACATGACTTTTTCAAATGATAAAATCCCATAGTAACAAAAATAATCCCTTACAGATAAAATTTATAAAGCAATATGGTTTTGTAAATCTCTCTAAAGAAGAGTAGACTCAATACTTTCCTGAACTTGTATATGCTGAGATAATTTTTAGATTCACACATAAAAGACCATATCATGCTTCCAGAACATATTAGGCATTGATTTCTTTACACTCCAACACGATTGACATAGTCTGCAATTTTAAATTTTCTAATCAAATATATCTAAAAATAATTCTATACCTATGTTAATGTATCACATAATAAAATATTCTACATACTAGATTATAAATCTATTGGTTTACTTATTTTATGTGTAACATGGAACATGTTTCTCCTGTTACTTGGCAAATTAGAAAATAAACCCTTATAAGGCTATATATGAAAACCAAATATACTTGTATACTCTGATTAATGTCAGTGTTTTGCTTGCTTAATTTTCCCAATTAAGATTCCTCCAATGAAAACGTGATATTTAAGACTTTAGCTATAGTTCAAAACATTACAGGAAGTTTCACTGAGTATCCCTTGTCAATTGCTTCAAAAATTCACATCTTGGGTCTTGTCCTTGGTCCAGAAAAGCAATGCTTCTTTCACTGAGGGTTACTGAAGATATCTCATGCATCTATTTGTGTTCTTAAAACACATGAAAAATGTATGGCGGGTCCATGGATCTAGAAATATCTCCTAGTGTGACAATTTCCATATTTCCACACAGGCTTTCTATTATCTCAATCTTTCAGAAAAGTATAAAGGTATCCAGAGCAGATGTCCAAAATATAAAGACACTTAAACATAATGCCAGAATCTACTGTACAAAGGTAGTTAAAATTTTACATCCCCTGGAAAATTTCTTCATAGAAAAACAGAGATAATTTCTTTGCATGACTATATAAATATTGACCTAATTAGTGGAAATTAACCTGGACACGCCCATTATCTGGTGACCCAAGTAAGCAAACAAAAAATTCGTCAACACCAAAATTTGTTTCTTGAATTTGTATCTTCTCTGTCAATTATGGTGAAACAATCATTAATATTTTACTGTGATCAAGGATTTATAACATTCATGTGCCCAGCTGTTTAGCTCTATAGCTAACAAGGAAATGCTGGGATTTAACTTTGTGAAAAAGTCAATGACAAAGCTTTCTTACGGGCAGAAGCAGAACTCTTCAGTCTTTCAGTCATTCAAATAGTATATCCCTAAGACCACTTCTTTTCTGATTAAAGGCATGTCTGTATATCTACCAAATCTCATTCCAGGAAATTGAGATCTTCTACAAATTTTTACAAACAAAGGTGGATGAAATAAAACAACCCATCTAGAGGACTAGATACCAGTTGAAGACATACTGTAGCTTGGGCAGAAATTTTAATGTTTAACCTATCTATCTCATAGGTTATTCTATCAGGAAAAAAAGTCTTCCATTTATATGTGTAGACATAGTCTATGACTTTTACATCATCAATATTTTTAATTAAAAAGACCGTAAGGCTTTTATAGATGAATTAGAATATTTGGAACAAATTCAAATGAACACTTTTCTTCTGGAGAACAATCCCTAGGGGAAAAATACTTGGTTTTTGCCAAGGAAAAAGACTTGGCTTTTGTCAAGAAAGAGTCACTGAATTCCAAGTAATGTGAAAATCTTGCAATGTGAAAAAAGAAATTCTAAAGTAAATTGAACAATAAATTATGTTTTACATTATGAAATACTGAGGTAAATCAAGTAATATTTAAGCCAGAATGACAAGGAAACCAGCCCCAGAATCTCTTACCTAATCACATCCTCAGCAAGGAGGACCTAACCTTGTTGATAGAAAGTCTGTGCCTAAGAAGCCTGAGGCTTACAGGCAGAGAGACTTAGAACTGAAGTTGAGATTCTAACACTTAGAAAGGCAGGTAATCAGAGCTGTACAGTTTTAGGTTGGAGTAGAAGTTTTTAATCAAACCTGAATCTCTGTCATATGCAACCATAGTGATCATTAGTCCATTAATTCAATCCTCTAATGTATCAGTCCATTTTTACACTGCTATAAACTGCCTGAGACTGGGTAATTTATAAAGGAAAGAGGTTTAATTGACTCGCAATTCAGCATGACTTGGGGGGCCTCAGGAAACTTACCATCATGGCAGAAGGCAAAGGGAAAGCAAGGCACCATCCTCACAGGGTGGCAGGAAGGATAAGTGCTGAACAAAAGGAAAAGAGCCCCTTTATAAAACCATAAGATCTTGTGAGAACGTACTATCATGAGAACAGCATGGGGGAAACTGTCCCCATGATTCAATAACCTCCACCTTTTCTCTCCCTTGACATCTGAGGATTATGGGGATTACAATTCAAGATGAGATTTGGGTGGGGACACAAAGCCTAATCATATAATTCTACCCAGGGCCCCTCCCAAATCTCATGTCTCTTTCATATTTTAAAGAGACAGTTATGCCTTCCTAACAGTCCCTCGAAGTCTTAATTCATCCCGGCATTAGCCCAAACTCCAAGTCCAAAGTCTCATCTGAAACAAGGCAAAAAAAATATACCTCAAAGCATTTAAAAAACTAACAAGGAACAAAGAAGGATATGGTGGCATGTTTCTCTGTCCTAGCTACTTGGAAGGCTGAGGTGGGAGTATCACTTCAGCCTAAGAGTTTGAGTTTAGCATGGGCAATATAACAAGAGAGAAGAGAAGGAAAGGGAAAGGGGAAGGGAAGTGAAGGGGGAAGGGAAGGAGGAATTTAAGTCTTTAATCCATTTTAATTAGATTTTTTGTATTTGGAGAAAAATAGACATCTAGTTTCATTCTCCTACATATGGACATCCAGTTTTCCCAGCATTATTTGTTGAAGAAACTGTCTTTTCCCCATCATATGTTCTTGGCACATTTGTTGAAAATGAGTTCACTGTAGGTGTGTGGAAGGGAAGGGGGAAGGGGGAAGGGGGAAGGGGAAGGAGGGGGGAAATAGAAGGGGGAAGGGAGGGGGAAGTGAGGAGGAAGGGAGGGGGAGGGGAGGGGAAAGGAAGGGAGAATGGAGGGGGAAGGGGGAAGGGGGAGGGGAGGCTTAATCAACACCATTAACTAATTTGACCAATTTACATAAGAGAACAAGGGGCCCAAAAGCCGCAGAATATACATTCTTTTTTAAAATTTTAATTTTTAATTTTTGTGGGTGCATAGTAGTTCTGTATGTTTATGTGGTACATTACATGTTTGGATACAGGCATGCAATGCATAATAATCACATCAAGAAAAATGGGGTATCCATCCCCTCAAGCATTTACCCTTTGCATTACAAACAATCCACTTACACTCTTTTAGTTATTTTTAAATGTACAATTAACACCCTTTTGTGTTATCGAGTAGTAAGCCTTATACACTCTTTCTGATTATTTTTGTACCCATTAACCATCCTTATCTCCCACCCTCTCGCCTCCCCGCTACACTTCCTAGCTTCTGGTAACCATCCTTCTATTCTCCACATCCATAAGTTCAATTGTTTTGAATTTTAGATCCCACAAATAAGTTAGATATCATGATGTTTGTCTTGCTTTGCCTGGCTTACTTCACATAATATAATGACCTCTGGTCTTATCCATCTTGTTGCAAATGAGTGAATCTCATTCTTTTTAATGGCTGAATAGTACTCCATTGTATATAGGTACCACATATTCTTTATCTATTTATCTGTCAATGGACACATAGGTTGCTGCCAAGTTTTGGCTATTGTGAATAGTGCTGAAACAAATATGTGAAGGCCAATATCTCTTTGATATACTAATTTCCTCTCTTTTAGGTATACTTTGAGCAAAGGGATTACTGGATCACATAGTTGCTCAATTTTTAGTTTTCTGAAAAACCTTCAAACTGTTTTCTATAGTAGTTGTACTAATGTATATTCCCATCAACAGTGTATTAGGATTCCCTAATATTTTGCTCATTTTTTCATTGGATTATTAGATGTTTTCTTTTTTTTTTTTTTTTTTTTTTGAGATGGAGTTTAACTCTTGTTGCCCAGACTGGAATGCAATGGCATGATCTCAGCCCACCACAACCTCTGCCTCCTGGGTTCAAGTGATTCTCCTGTCTCAGCCTCCTGAGTAGCGGGGATTACAGACATGCACCACCACGCCTGGATAATTTTTATATTTTTAGTAGAGATGGGTTTTCATCATATTGGCCAAGCTGGTCTTGAACTCCTGGCCTCAGGTGATCCTCCAACCTCAGCCTCCCAAAGTGCTGCGATTACACGTGTGAGCCACCATGCTCAGCCAGATGTTTTCCTATAGAATTGTTTGAGCTCCTTCTACATTGTCCTTATTAATTCTTTGTCAGATGGGCAGTTTGCAAATATCTTCACCCATTCTATGAGTTGTCTCTTCACTTTGTTGGTCGTATCCTTTGCTGTGTGGAAGCTTTTTAACTTGATGTGATCTCATTTGTCCATTTTTACTTATACCTTTCTGTGCTAGGAAAATATTGCTCAATAAATCTTTGCACAGACCAATGTCCAAGAGAGTTTCCCCAATGTTATCTTGTAGTAGTTTCATATTTTGAGGTCTTAAATTTAAGTCTTTAATCCATTTTAATTAGATTTTTTTGTATTTGGAGATAGAGATCTAGTTTCATTCTCCTACATATGGACATCCAGTTTTCCCAGCATTATTTGTTGAAGAAACTGTCTTTTCACCAGCATATGTTCTTGGCACCTTTGCTGAAAATGAGTTCACTGTAGGTGTGGCGATTTGTTTCTGGGTTCTCCATTCTGTACCATTGGTCTATGTTTTTAGGCCAGTACCATCCTGTTTTGTTTACTATAGCTCTGTAGTATAATATGATGTCAGGTGATGTGATTCCTCCAATTTGGTTCTTTTGCTCAGGATAGCTTTGGCTAGTCTGCATCTTTAGTGATTCCATATAAATTTTGGGATAGTTTTTTTTTTCTATTTTTGTGAAGAACGTCATTGGTATTTTGATAGGGATTGTATTCAATCTGTAGGTTGCTTTGGGTAGTATGGACACCTTAACAAAATAGTTTCTTCCAATCCATGAACATCAAATATTTTCCCTTTTGGTGTGTGTCCTCTTCAGTTTCCTTAATCAGTGTTTACAGTTTTCATTATAGAGATCTTCTACTTCTTTGTATAAATTAATTTCTAGGTATTTAATTTAATGTGTTGCTTTTTAAAATGGGATTATTTGTTCTTTTTCACATTGTTCACTGTTGGCATATAGACATTCTGCTGACTTTTATATGTTGATTTGGTGTCCTGAAACTTTATGGAATTTATTATTTCTAATAGTTTTGTTGTGGTTATTCCAAATATAAGATCATATCTTCAGCAAACAAAGATAATTTGATTTCTTCCTTTCCAATTTGTATTCCCTTCATATCTTTCTTTTGTCTAATTGCTCTAGCTAGGACTTCCAGTACTATGTTGAATAACAGTGGGGACAGTAGGCATCCTTGTGTTCCAGATCTTAGAAGAAAGGTTTTCCATGTTTCACAATTCACTATGAGACTAGCTGTGGATCTCCCATATATAGCTTTTATTATGTTGAGGTTTGTTCCTTCTATCCCCGGCTTTTTCAGGGCTTTATCATGAAGGGATGTTGAATTTTATCAAATACTTTTTCAGCATCAGTTTAAATGATCATATGGTTTTTACCCTTCACTCTGTTGATATGATGTATCACACTGATTGATGTACATATGTTGAAATCTCAGGGATAAATCCCACTTGGTCATGATGAATGATGTTTTAAATGTATTGTTGAATTCAGTTTGCTAGTATTTTGTTGAGGGTTTTTGCTTTAATATTCATCAGAGATATTGGTCTGTAGTTTTGTTTTTTGTTGTTGTTGTTGATATATCTTTGTCTGGTTTCAGTATCAGGGTAATAGTGGCCTCAGAATTAGTTTGAAAATATTCCTTACTCCTCTATTCTTCAGAATAGTTTGAGTAGGATAGGTATTAATTCTTCTTTCAATGTTTAGTAGAATTCAGATGTGAAGCTATCAGCTCCTGGGCTTTTCTTTACTTGGAGACTTTATTATGACTTCAGTCTGCTCAGATTTTGTATTTCTTCCTCATTCAATCTTGGTAGGTTATTTGCATCTAGGAATTTGTCCATTTCTTATAGATTTTCCAATTTATTGGCATATAATTGTTCATAGTAGCCACTAATGATCCTTTGAATTTATGCAGTATCAATTTTAATGTCTCCTTTTTCATTTCTGATTATATTCATTTGGATCTTTTTCCTTAGTCTGGTTAAGTTCTATCAATTTTGTTTAACTTTAAAAAAAAACAACCTTTTGTTTCATTGATATTTCGTATTTTTATTTATTTCTGCTGTGATCGTTATCATTTATTTTCCTCTAGTTTTTGGCTTTATTTCCTCTTGCTTTTCTACTCCTTTAAGATGCTTTATTCACTTGTTTATTTGAAGGGGTTTTTTTGGTGTAAGCACTTATAGCTATAAACTTCCATCTGAGTAATGCTTTCTCTGTATTTGATAGATTTTGGTATATTTGTTTCCATTATTTGTTTCAAGAAGTTTATCAGTTTTCTTTTTTTAAATCAGTGTAATTTATTTTGATAATAGTCTACATTCATGAGAATGCAGTAAGATTCTGCATTGATATATTGCTGCTGAGAGGTAATTGATATAAATCTAGAAAACCATTTGAAAGTATGAACTGTCTTTCAGATGCCCCTCCCTTTAAAAAGACAAAGGAAATACCACAAAATTAATTTCTTCATGGACCCTACTGATCATTCAGGAGCATTTTGTTAATTTCCATGTATTAGTATGGTTTCCAAAATTTCTCATTATTAATTTCTAGTTTTATTTCATTGTTGTCAGATAAGACAATTGATATTATTTCAAATTTTTTGAATGTTTTTGGACTTGTTTTGTAACCTAACATATGGTCTATTCTTGAGAATGATCTGTGTGCTGAGGAAAAGAAAATGTTTCCTGCAGCCACTGGATGAAATGTTCTGTAAATACTTATTATATCCATTTGGTCTTTATTGCAGATTAAGTCTGAAGTTTCTTTGTTGATATTCCATCTGAAAGACCTTGAATACAAAAAAAAAATTGATAAATTCAGGTGCATCAGAATAAAAACTTTGGCTCATAAAAACTGTTAATGATATGAAAAAGTGAGCCATACATTGTGGGTGTGCTTACAATACATATGTCTGAATAAGAACTTGTATCTAGAATGCATAAAGAAGTTTTACAAGTCAAGACAAGTCACATGATTTTTTTAATGTTCAACAGACCAGCCAAGAATTATATGTTCAACATATTTAGTCATCCAGGAAATGCAAATTAAAACCAATCCAATTGTTACTGAGGATGCGGAATAACCAGAACTCTCATACATCTCTTGTGGAAGTATATAATTTTACAATTGTGTTGAAAAACTTTTTGACAGTTATAAAATTTAGTCTTCACCCTACCTCCTAACAAGCATATATCTATAATTCTACAACCCATGTGTCTTGGATAAAGACCTGTTAATGGCCCAAAGCAAATCCCTGTATGGGCAGATATAAACACACATATGGTCCAATGCAGCTCAGTGTATGGCAAGATGTAGCCCCAAGTGTAGACAGACACAGAACTGGGTGATATCATATGCAAAACTTATATAAATGCAAACACAACTAATCAAATACTGATCTTTGTGTTTTCACATACAGACCTGTGTGTTCATATATAGACTTTGTGTTCAGTTAGATACAGACCCAGGTATCACTGGATACATACATATATATGGTCATACAGACATACATGCTGCTGGATACAGATCCGAGTGCACAGTCAAATACAGACTCCTATACAATGATATTCAAACCTGTATATGGTCAGATACAAGCCTATGTGTGTCTGAATACAGACCTATGCCCGTGGCTTTAAAGATTGTGCCAGGAAATGCCAGGAAAAGACACTGAGTCCTCTCTTGTCAGCTCATTGAAAATATTAATCAAATGTAAATAAGAGAATTCCCTTTTTAAATGAAAAAGTCAAAAGGTAAGGTATATATAGACTATGAAGATGTTTACAACTTTTTTAAATCTTAAGTTCAGTGGTACATGTGAAGGTTTGTTATGGGGGTGTCATGGAGGTTTGTCATTTTAGAAGTCTGACATAGGGGTTTGTTGTAAGGATGATTTCCTCACCCAGGTATCAAGCCTAGTACCTATCAGTATTTCTGTGATCCTCTCACACCTCCCACCCTCCGTCGTGTCTGTTGTTCCTCTCTATGTGTTTGTGTGTTCTCATCATTTAGCTCCCACTTACAAGTGAGAACATGTGGTGTTTGGTTTTCCGTTCCTGTGTTAGTTTGCTAAGGATAATGGCCTCTGGCTCCATCCATGTTTCTGCAAAGGACATGGTCTTATTCTTTTTTATGGCTGAATAGTATTCCATGCTGTGTATGTACCACATTTTCTTCATCCAATCTACCAATGATGGCCCATTATGTTTGTTCCGCATCTTTGCAATTAATAGTGCTGCAATGGGCATGTGCATGCATGTGTCTTTATGTTAGAATGATTTATATTCTTTTGGGTATATAACCAGTAATGGGGTGGCTGGATCAAATATTAGCTCCATTTTTAGGTCTTTGAGGAATTGCCACATGGTTTTCCACAATGGGTGAACTAATTTACACCCCAATCAACGCTGTATAAGCATTCCTTTTTCTCTGCAACCTCGCCAGCACCTGTATTTTTTTTTTACTTTTTAATAATAGCCATTCTGACTGATGTGAGATGGTATCTCACTGTGGTTTTGATTTACATTTCTCTTTTTTTTTATTTTTTTTTAGTATTTATTGATCATTCTTGGGTGTTTCTCAGAGAGGGGGATTTGGCAGGGTCATAGGACAATAGCCGAGGGAAGGTCAGCAGATAAACATGTGAACAAGGGTCTCTGGTTTTCCTAGACAGAGGACCCTGCGGCCTTCCGCAGTGTTTGTGTCCCTGGGTACTAGAGATTAGGGAGTGGTGATGACTCTTAACGAGCATGCTGCCTTCAAGCATCTGTTTAACAAAGCACATCTTGCACCACCCTTAATCCATTTAACCCTGAGTGGATACAGCACATGGTTCAGAGAGCACGGGGTTGGGGGTAAGGTTATAGATTAACAGCATCCCAAGGCAGAAGAATTTTTCTTAGTACAGAACAAAATGGAGTCTCCCATGTCTACTTCTTTCTACACAGACACAGTAACAATCTGATCTCTCTTTCTTTTCCCCACATTTCCCCCTTTTCTATTTGACAAAACCGCCATTGTCATCATGGCCCGTTCTCAATGAGCTGTTGGGTACACAACCCAGACGGGGTGGTGGCTGGGCAGAGGGGCTCCTCACTTCCCAGATGGGGTGGCCGGGCAGAGGCGCCCCCCACCTCCCAGACAGGGCAGTGGCCGGGCGGAGGCGCCCCCCACCTCCCTCCCGGATGGGGCAGATGGCCTGGCGGGGTTGACCCCCCACCTCCCTCCCAGACGGGGTGGCTGGTCGGGTGGGGTCTGACCCCCTACCTCCCTCCTGGACGTGGTGGCTGGCCATGATTTGCATTTCTCTAATGATCACTAATATTGACCTTTTTTCATATGTTTTTTGACAGCATGTATGTCTTGTTTTGAAAAGTGTCTGTGCATGTCCTTTGCCCACTTTTTGATTGAGATTTATCAATCAAGACTTCACAATAGGTGTCTTATTCTAGGTAGGAAAATGAGACATTATAGTATACCATTTTCCTCAAAATAAACAAGTAGGGTCATGAAACCCTAAATATAATTTTATTAAAAGTATTCAAGCTTTACAAAACAGCCCTAAGATTTATTAGGAAAAATAAATATTTAGAAATTGCAAAAAAGCTGAAAAAGATTAGTAATTAGGGGAGACTATCTCTATTAAGTATAAATATTTAAAATCCTTGACCACTGGGATAGTGTGTTGCTGGAAAAGAAAACAGAAAACAAGAAAAGAAGAAACAGAAGAAGTGCCCCAAGATTGAACCTTCTAAATGTGAAGATTCTGACATACTAAAAGGAGAAATTAAATGCTGCTGGGAAAACTGGCTGGTCATATATAGAAAGCTGAAACTGGATCCCTTCCTTACACCTTATACAAAAATTAATTCAAGATGGATTAAATACTTACATGTTAGACCTAAAAGCATAAAAAACCCGAGAAGAAAACCTAGGCATTACCATTCAGGACATAGGCATGGGCAAGGACTTCATGTCTAAAACACCAAAAGCAATGGCAACAAAAGCCAAAATTGACAAATGGGATCTAATTAAAGTAAAGAGCTTCTGCACAGCAAAAGAAACTACCATCAGAGTGAATAGGCAACTTACAAACTGGGAGAAAATTTTTACAACCTACTCATCTGACAAAGGGCTAATATCCAGAATCTACAATGAACTCAAACAAATTTACAAGAAAAAAACAAACAACCCCATCAACAAGTGGGTGAAGGACATGAACAGACACTTCTCAAAAGAAGACATTTATGCAGCCAAAAAACACATGAAAAAATGCTCATCATCACTGGCCATCTGAGAAATGCAAATCAAAACCACGATGAGATACCATCTCACACCTGTTAGAATGGTGATCATTAAAAAGTCAGGAAACAACAAGTGCTGTAGAGGATGTGGGGAAATAGGAACACTTTGACACTGTTGGTGGGACTGTAAACTAGTTCAACCATTGTGGAAGTCAGTGTGGCAATTCTTTAGGGATCTAGAACTACAAATATCATTTGACCCAGCAATCTCATTACTGGGTATATACCCAAAGGATTATAAATCATGCTGCTATAAAGACACATGCAAACATATGTTTATTGCGGCACTATTCACAATAGCAAAGACTTGGAACCAACTCAAATGTCCAACAACGATAGACTGGATTAAGAAAATGTGGCACATATACACCATGGAATACTATGCAGCCATAAAAAATGACGAGTTCATGTCCTTTGTAGGGACATGGATGAAGCTGGAAACCCTCATTCTCAGCAAACTATCGCAAGGACAAAAAACCAAACACTGCGTGTTCTCACTCATAGGTGGGAATTGAACAATGAGAACACATGGACACAGGAAGGGGAACATCACACACTGGGGACTGTTTTGGGGTGGGGGGAGCAGGGAGGGATAGCATTAGGAGATATACCGAATGCTAAATGACAAGTTAATGGGTGCAGCACACCAACATGGCACATGTATACATATGTAACAAACCTGCACAATGTGCACATGTACCCTAAAACTTAAAGTATAATAATAATAAAATTAAAAAATAAAAAATAATTATATATTCATTCATAACATATATCACCAAGTCTGACTACCTATGAAAGAATTTAATAAATGTGACTATTTTTCTGAGCATTAAAAAAAAGGAAATAATTAATGGATTAGATTGGCAGATTATTTTACCTGTTTAGGAAAACTAGACTTCAATATTTTCTTATGATCAAGAAAAATAAATTTTCCGTTGGCTGGAAAACAAATGTTTTCGTAATTTTTTTAATGGGGATGACTAGAGGCAGGAGAGAGGGAGGTGGGCAAGGGCTGAAAAACTACCTGCTGGGTACCATGCTCGCTACCTGGGCAGGGGTGCAATCATACTCCAAACCTCAGCATCATCCAACATACCTTTGTAACAAACCTGCACATGTGCCTCCTGATTCTAAAACAAAATCTGAAAAGAAAAGTAAGTAAATAAAATAAGGTGTTAAAATGTATAAAGTCACTAGAGGGAAATGGAATTTACTGAGGTGTCATATGACAGAAAAAATAAGAAGTAAAAAAGTTAAGATAAAACATTTCTGTATAAAAACATCCATAATTGTAGCATCAATAACATAGTAAAGTAAATATTTATAGCAAATATCAAAGAATGGAATGAACATACATACATTTTTGATACAGAAAAACTTTATCAGAATGTATCAGTAAAATTTCTGACTCCAATAGATTAAGAATTCAAGGAAACAAGTAATTAACAAAGTTTATGGAGTAGGCTCTATGTGTCAGACATTGTGCAAGGAACAGAGAGCACAAAGAGAAGTAACTTTCCCTGACTTCAGGGAAATTTCCGACCAATAAACATAAACAGACAATTAACCAAGATTTTTTTTATTACATCACTCAATAGAACCGTACAAATTGGAAAATTAATTACATGTCCAAAAATGCAGGACCTAGTTTTATAAACTACCAAATGCTCAATACTATTTGGAGAATGGTGCTATGTTTTGGAAGAGCTTGGATGATATAAGAAATCTCCATGTAATAATAATAAGGATAAAAATAATAATACAAAGTGAACTCATATAGTGTGATTTACCAGGGAAATTGACTTATGTTTTTCCCTAGCCTTAGTCCCTCATGAATCCGGACTACAGAGGAGAAGCAGGAACAATGAGTTTCTTTGATTACATGTTTTCTACCTGTAGTCAGGGGCAGATAAAATTTTATTTCAAGCCTGATTCAAAAGAAATTTTCACACAGATTTTTATGAATGAAGTGTCTTTCCAATGAAACATATGTTTTAGTCCGTTTTTTACCTAATAATCTGCATTCTATCAATAAAGAAAGAATGGAAGCATCATATATTGCCAGCATCTTTCTTTTTTTTTTCTTTCTTTTTTTTTCTCAGTCTTACTCTGTCACCCACATTAGAGTGCAGTAGCATGATCACGGTTCACTGCAGTCTTGACCTCCTGGGCTCAAAAACTCCTCCAACCTCAGCCTCCTGAGCAGCTGGAACCACAGACATGCACCACCACACCTGTCTATCTTTTGTGACAATGGTGTATTCCAAAATATTTGCTATCAGGCTCTGCATTGCATATTTGAAGTTCATAGATTATGGATTATGCTGATTTTACATATAAAAAGCAGAGCCTGGCTGTTTTTTAGAAGGCCATGAGAAGGGGGTATTGAAAATAGCAGAGGTATTATCAGATATTCTAAACATCTGGGAAGATCAATGGATCATTTTTATATAAATATGGAACCAAAACAAGCTGCTTCACCTGAGGACTAAACAGCATCCATTAATGATAAGTACCCAAGGAAGAAGTACATAGGGGCATCCAAAGTTGGGCTGACCACCACAGTTACAACAATGAGTATGTCACCTACCATTGTCACAAGGTAGATGAGCAAGAACACAACAAATAATATTTTCTGTCTCTGGGGGCTCTGAGTGAGCCCCACAAGGACAAACTCTGTCATATTTTTCTTTTGTTCCGTATGTCTTTTTGTATGTCCTTATTCCAGTGTTCAGGACAAAATTACCTAAAAATATAATTATTACTAGTAACTTCATGAAATTTTAGGATAATTTGTTTATTCATTCAACAAATAGGTGCTATGAGTTATTATGTTCCAGAATTGCAAGACATTATAAGAATATAAGGCTGATTAAAGCATGGTCCCCAACCTCAGCAATCTTACAAATTAATGGAGAGAGAAATAAGTAATTTGGGATGTATATGGGAAAAGGAAGTTTATTAAATAAATGAGTTTGCCAAAACTAGTTTTACATCTGGACGATCATAAAATTATACATATAGCTAATACCATAAACAAAAATAAATACAAATGAATTAAAGATTTAATATAAAACTAAAGCTAGATTTACTTTATATTTACTTTCCAGTTAATAAAGGAGATGACTTTCTACATTCTCTGGATGGGAGAATCTTCTTAACTAATAATTGAAATCCAAAATAAACATATTCGACAATTTCAAAATTGTTTAAGAATTTGGGAAAAGATACCATTTAAAAATATTTACAATTTTGAGGACACAGAGTTAATATTTAAAATAGACAGAGTGCTCTAAGCAATTAATAAATAAAAGACAAACCAATAGCAAACTGGGCAAATGATAGAAACCAGCAATTTAAAAAAACCAGTACATTCAAATGGCCAAATATAATAGGGTGCTGAAGTTCACCTATAAATAGAAAAATACAAAATAAAAAACAAATATCACCTTATATTCATCAAACTGACAAAAACATTCTAAAAGTGATAGTAGCTATAGCTAGCAAAAATAAAAAGGGTATTTTCTTACACTGATAGTGAAAATATGAATTTTATAATTTTTGGAACAAAAGTTAGCAATCTCTAATGAAAGTAAAAATATCTTTCAAACAATTGCCCCTTCAAAAGCTATCCCATAGAAATTAGAGCCCTAGAACATAAGGACAGAAGCATGGCATGTTTTGTGACACTATTTATAATGGCACTAAACAAACAAAAAAATATGGAATGCAGATATTTAAAACAATTAATTATAAACTATAGTTGCCCTATCATGATCTTATTCTTCCTACCTAACTGTATTTCTGTATATATTAATCAACTCCTCTTCATCCCCTCTCCTCACTACCCTTCCCATCTTCTGGTAACCACCATTCTATTCACTACCATCATGAGGTCAATTTTTTATCTCCCACATGAGTCAACACATGCAATATTTGGCTTTCTTTGCCTGCCTCATTTTATTTAAGATAATATCCTCCGGTTCCATCCACGTTGCTGCAAATGGCAGAATTTTATCCTTTTTATTACATTATCTCACCCCAGTTAAAATGGCTATTATGAAAATAACAGAAAATAAATGCTGATGAGGATGTAGACAAAGGGGAATGATCATAATATGTTGGTAGGAATGTAAATTAATACAGCCACTATGGAAAACAGTATGGAGGTTCCTCAGAAAATTAAAAAAAGGACTAGCATATATCTAGAGATCCTACCGGTAGTTATATATCAAAAAGAAATGAAATCGGTATATCAAAGAGATACCTACATTCCCATAATTTGTGGAGCACTATTCACAATCGCCAAGATATGGAATCAACCCAAGTGTTCATCAAAAGATGAATAGGTTAAATAAGAATTTTGAAGTTAAGAAAAAACTCGAATTTGTGGGAGAGAGAATTGTGACTTTTTAATATAAATATTTGCATTTTATACCAATAAAAGTAAAATAATGAAATAGCCTTTACAACATATGATCCCAATCAGTTATACGGACCTGTATGCCTGCCACATAGTTGAACCTTGGGTAATCTGAAGGATGGAGAATAATTTTAATCCGTATTTTATCATGTTTTGAGTCTATCATTTTAATTCCTAAAAATCAGTCATGTGAATACTGTTATAAACAAATACTCTTTGAAGTAAGGGCAGAAGTCTGTGGATACTTTATCCACATTTGAACTGCAACACATATTGTTGAGTCATTCAACTGGTGCATCTCCAAAGGTGATTCTTCTCTAATTAAATTCATTGGGACCTTTATCATAATTCTGATGGTAGGCTCCGTATCTCTAGAGATGCCACAGGGATAATAACTATGTATAGCAAGATTTATAGAACCAAGTCCTCTAGGGAAAAAATGACAAAAGAATAATGAGGTCGAATCACCAAAAGGAAACAGTCCAGTCTGAGCATAAGTGAAATACATAAAACCTAGTATTTAATCATGACCTGCAAAATAGGCAAATCTGTTGAGTGTGTAGTCACAGACAAGCTTCATTAAGGGGTCCATGTCACAAATAAAATGACCAATGACATTGGGGTCATAAGATGGGAGCCCATAAATAAGTCCAAGTTGAATTACTATGTGCAAAAATCCTCCAGCCCAGGACACCACCAGCAGCACAACACACAGCCATTGCTTCATGACAACCAAATACTGCAAGGACTTGCAGATGGCCCTATAGTGGCCTAGGCCATCACCAACAGAAGGAAAATCTGTGACCCACCAAGAAAAAAATGTCCTGTAAAGAGCTAGGTGCTGCATCATATAACATTGGAGAAAGAAATGCATGTTTGAGTATGGAGTGGTTGTGCATAGTGTTATAATCCATGAAAAGGCCAATTGGCTTTAGTGTAAATTTGGTTAATCAGATACCTTACTTTATACCAATCAATTTATTTCAGCATCTCTAAGTGAGTGCAAGTACTTTTATTTGGGAAAAAAATGGTACAAATTAAAATAAAAGGAGAACATGCAGAGACAAAGTGGAGATCAATGTTGTTGAATACATCAGAAATTTCACCAACTGCCAGGAGGCACACACAACGTGTTTTGAAAAAAGATGATGGCTTAAATATGTATGTTTAATTTTGTATCATCTGTATTTTAATTAGAGCTGAATTAATTATAGTAGGTTAAGGTTGCTAAAATATGTTTACGTGTGTGTGTATTATCATCTTTATTTTATTTTTAATAAAATGTGTATTTTTTAAGCGAGGACAGATGTTATTGATACTCATCCAGGTCAGATAAAATTCCCCTTTCCACAAACAGAAAATCCTCTCCAGTGAGTTTACTTATTCATGTCCTTTCAGTTTATTGCTTGTTATCCCTGGAAGTGGTTATGTAAACACTATTAATACTTGCTCTTGGGTCTCCTTTTAACACTCGTAGCCCCCTACCTTTCGAGTAGCTCTCTATTACATCATTTGTTTCACTTTTTACACCTTCCCACTCTGTTATCTTTTATCTTTTTATCTATATGCTTACTTGTTTATTGTCTCTCTCCCCCTATAATAGAAAATGTTTCTTTGGATGGGCATGATGGCTCACACCCATAATCCCAGTCCCTCCTGCAGGAACACTGAATTTCAACAACTAATTGCACACACACAGAAGCACAAACATAAGAACAAAAAACTGGGTGAGCAACTCCAGTACCTGGTTTTAACTTCACATCACAAAATGAAACACACTTAAGAGGGTAGGAAAGACAGTCTTAAATTGCCAGTAACACCCCTCCTTGATTCCACAGCTGTGGCTGCATGGTGCAAAGAGATAATCTGTGCACTTGAGGAAAAAAGAGTATAGAACTCAGTGCTATCTTGTCACAGCAGAGAGCAAAGCCATGCTGAGCTCAACTGGCACCCACCCATGGAGACTGCATTTGGACCAGCTCTAGCCAGAGGGGAATCATTCATCCAAGAAGTCAAAACAAGAATTTCTTGGCAAGTCTAACCACTGTGGGCTAAAGTGCTCTGGGGTCTTGGGTAAACTTCAAAGGCAGCCTAGGACACAAGGCCTGCAATTCCTAGGCAAGTCCTAATGCTAGGTTGGACTTAGAGCCAATGCAATAGGGTGGCACATGACCTAGGGAGACACCAGCCAGGGCTGCCAAGGGAGTTCTTGTGCCACCCCTCCCCTGACCCCAGGCAGTGTAGCTTGCAGCAACAAAAGTGACTCCTTCCTTCTGCTTGAGGAGAGGAGAGTGCATCATGAAGAGTCAAGAGGACTTTGTCTTGCCTCCTGGATATTAACTAGCCACAATAGGATCAGGGACTGGGAAGAGTTATAAGTCCCACACCCTAGGTCCTAGCTCCCTTCTATGTGTAGTAGCAAACTTCTATGCATAGAAAAACTTGCACATACATATATTTAAATATATTTACATTTTCAAAGATTATTACCTGAAACATCTTAAGAAACAGATAATGGTGACTTCCTCTGAGGAAGAGAACTAGGAGACTGCACTCAGAGATGGACAGGAGATTTATTTCTCATTTTACCTCATTTTGTATGGTTTCCATTTTTACTATTTATGATTATTTTGCTTTCATTTTTAACTTTAAAAGGTAGAAGTATTACACTAAAAATGTGTATATAGTGCAAGTTCAATTGGATGAAAAAGACTGCATTGGTATAAAATATTCCATTAACTATTTTAAATAGTATAAGAAGAAGAACTTAAATGACAAGAATCTAACTAAAAATGAAATTAAGTCTCAGAAAGGCAAAAAGATACATGCATAACTTGATTAAAAATTAATGTAACTCTAAAATGTCCTAACTAATTCCCTACATGTTATTAACTCCTTGCTTTATGCATTACTTCTTTACAGATAAAAAGGAAAACAAGACATTATAGATCTTACATGCTAGCAGGGAGATAAACTGTTATTAATAACACAATCATATAGTTCTTTAATCATAATTGTAAATGGTTTGAAGAAAGGGAATATGGCCTCAGATTTAAGAAAACTCCTGGGTCCCAAGGAGACAGACTGTAAAGTCAAATGACTCTCTTCATGGTGGGTAACTCACTTATGTACTACTTGATATGAAGTCTCTTCTCCAGAGCTTCTTCATAGCACTTGTCATCTCAGAATTTCTCAGAGTGTAGATTAAAGGGTTCAGCATTGGAGTTATGACTGTATAAAACACACTCACTGATTTGTCAATGGGGAAGGTCCTAGCAGGTCTAGCATACATAAAAATACAGGGAACAAAGAAGAAAACAACCACAGTTATGTGGGAACTGCAGGTTGAGAGGGCTTTTCACCTCCCTTTCTGACTAAGGTTCTTTAGAGAGTGCAGATGACACCATAAGAGATGAGTAAGAGCAGAAACACAATAGTGCAACCTAGTCCTCCATTGGCCACCACTAAGAGGCCAATAACATGGGTATCAGTACAGACCAGTTTCAATAAAGGGTGCATATCACAGAAAAAATGATCAATGACATTGAGGTCACAGAATGGGAGCCCATAAATAACACTAAGTTGAAATACTGAGTGCAGAAATCCTCCAACCCAGGACACTACCAGCAGCAAAACACACACCCATTGTCTCATGATAACCAAGTAATGCAAGGTCATAGGCCATCACCAACAGAAGAAAGACCTCTGACCCACCAAAAAGGTGCTCTGTAAAGAGCTGGGCCAAGCAAGATGGGAAGGATATGGAATTATTCCCAAAGAACAAGTCTGAAATCAATCTGTGGGAAATGGATGAAGAATAAATGATATCTATAAATGATAAGCCAGCAAGAAAGAAGTACATTGGTGAGCCCAGGGTCTCACTGACAGTTACGGTGACTACAATTAGCAGGTTTCCCACCATGGTCAAAATGTAGAAGAGCAAGAACATAACAAAAAGTACTTTCTGCTCCTTTGGATTCTGCGTGAAGCACAAGAGTACAAAGTCAGTCACATTGGTCCTTAGCTCCATCTATTCTTTATAGCTGCTTACTTCAGATCATAGAAGCAGTTTACCTATAAAACAAGGGGGAAAACTTTAAATGTATTATGATTTTAATATTTTGTTTGTTCATTCAATTAAAAATGTGTATGCAGTATCTATGTCAAATCTGTCATAGACTTTGGAATTGCAAAGTTGAAAAAGGCATGGTTTTGTACTCTCAGTAATTTAGTAAATAAAATACCAAGGGCAATAAATTAAATACCAATTTAATAGGTATCATAATAAATATATTCACATTATTGTAAGTGTTCACAACTCTAGAACACTTAAATCAAACTAGGATCAGGAAAGACTTTTCAGAGGAAGCAATGTCTTAGTTGAGCTATAAAGGAAAGGTGGTAACTACAAGAGAGGATGGGAAGGGAGTTCCACATAAAGATGCATCCTGTATAAATTCACAGATGTATAATACTCAAGAAACCACTTAAGATAACTTACATTTTTAAAGTGAGAAGAGCTAATTATGAGTGGATCTTTTGTAGGTGACAACCAACTGATGTGTTCAAATGATATCAATTTTTAATTTTCCAAATTAACCCATTTCTTATTTTCATTACATTAAATGTTACTACCTACCACGTTATTGTTTATACTAAAAATTTTACACTCTACTTCACTTCTCTATTTTTTCATATTATTTATCAATACATTTTTTTCAAACCCTGTTAACTCTCCCTTCAAAATATCCCAATTGGATCCTTCTCACTACAATCTTGTTACCCCCTGGCCTACTCTAATAGTCTCCTGCAAAGTCTCTCCACTCATATTTTGGCCTTAATAATGTTACTTCATGAAGTAGCCCAGACGATCTTTTGAAAATCTTTTTAATATTATACCACTCTTCTACTCAAAAACCCCATGGTGGATTTCTATTCTACACTCAATAAAATGCTATCTTTCTACCTTGGCATACAAGACCCTGGATGACCAGGATCCAGGCTACCTCCCCAAATCCATCCCTTACAATTGTCCACATTTATCCTGCTCCAGACAGTTTTGACACTCATCAAATATACAATGTGCTTTTCCATATCCTTAATTTCCTCTATTTTTGTAGACACTTATTTCAGAGATTAGAAGCCATTTATTTCTACAATAATCGTCAATATTGTGGAAATGTGTATTGTAAGTTTAATATTTTATTCATTCAATTGAAAAATGTTTATATGACACCTACATTGTATTATGCCTTTCAAATAAAGTAAACTCCCAGCCACCACAGAATGTTCACAAACTCATTCAGGTTTAGGGTCTAGGCCAGGAGTAATTATCAGAGGAGAAATACTAGTCTTAACCAAGGAATCACCTTTTCACCATTAGTCACCTACTTTTCCAAATAGAATTATGCCTCCTACGGTGATAAGATAGATAATAACTCTATTTTAATCTATTCATGACAAGTATTGTATGAATACTAGCCAAAAACTTCTACATTTTCTTCTCAATGATATTGAACTTTCCCCTGAGGAAGTCTCCATTAAGCTAGTTGACTTATAAATGTGTCTAATCAACAGCCTTATTTTATATGCTGTAAACCAAAAGCCTTATTTGCTGAGCTTTTACATACACCATATGTCTAATATGCATGTAGAAAATGCTTCATTTTTCTCAAAGTGTCTATAACATTCTGGTTTTAGAAAATAATTTAGATAGATAATGATAGACGATGATGATGATGATTAGAGAGATACATAGATAGATACATGATAACCATCTTATGGGAAATATCTAAACCAGTAAATAATATTTTTCTAACACTTTCTGTAAGATATCAAATGCTAATCACTACTGTGTCATAATTGTAAATGAAATTATAATATAAATTTACTGAGTTTTTCTGAGTACCTAATGAGTTAAAAAATATGGGAGCATATGTAGTACTGTGCTTGTATCAATATGGATAAGGTATCTGGAAGTCTTTTCTGAACATCTTTCGGTGCTGCTGAGATTATTCCACTGATGGGGATGGTCCATGGCTGCTATGTGACCATCTGCACTGCATGAAAATCATGACTCAATATAGGTGTGGCCATCTTGCTGGAATGGCATGCACTGGAAGATTTATCCAGGCACAGTTTAGATCCTCTCCCCAGTCTGACTTCCTTTCTATAATTCCAATGTCACAATATGAATAGCCCATTCATATGTGACTTAAACACTTTGTTGAAGCTCCTCTGCATAGGTAGTATGATACACTTGGTCTCTTTGTTGCTGCCAATGATGGGTTCAACTGCCTGTTAAACATCATCTTCTTGATGGTTTCTTAAGTGGCCATCCTATATACTTTGAAATCCCACAGCTTGGAGGAAAGATACAAAGCTCTCTCTACCTGTGTCTCTCACACCACCGTGGCCATCTAATTCTTTGTGTTCTGTATACTTGTGTATCTGTGCCCAGTGACCCTTCCCCAGTCAGTAAAGCAGTGGCTGTGCTTTACACCATGATAACGCCTACATTAAACCCTTTAGTCTAACCCTCAGAAATGCAGAGGTGAAAAGTGTTGAGAAACTTCTGGGTCAAAAGATGACTTGAAGAGAGAAATAATCCAAACATAAGATGATTTTACTCTTTCAATGGTGAAGAGAAAAGAATATAATATCTAAAACTAAGGGCCAAGTGAATACTGCATGTCAAAGATGATTCTGGTATATAAGCCATTTGAGCAAAGGTCCATATAGAAAACTATTTATCATTATAAAAATATCCTTTAGATTTATTTATTGCCAATTTGGTTGTTAATCTTCAGTGTACTGTCAGAATTGCACAATAAAGTCTTCAGACAAAAACCAATTTAGCAAGTGTGATTATAAATAATTTAAATTGTGCTATGGCTTCACAGCATTGGGTCTTCTAAATCCAACTGGGCTCTGGGTAGGTTTCCCAGAGGAAGTGATACTTTTGATGAGTTTAAAGGAGAAGTGAAAGAAGAGGATGGAAAAGGGAATTCCATGAAAAGATGTGCCATGTATAAACTCACTAAAATATCACATTCAAGACTCACTTAAGGTAATATATATATTCATAGTGGGTAGAATGCATTGTGTGTGCAAGGCTATAGACCAAATTTCTTTGTATTATTCACTAGGGCCACCACCTTATAATAATTATGCTTTTCCTGCACTTTCCAATAACTTGTTCCTAATTTCCATTTGTAACCTTAAATATGAGTACCTTAACATTCATATTTCTAGCAAAATTCAGCTCATGATGAAATATGTTTTCTCTAAGACAACAGATGTTTTCTCCTCAGTTCCCCTCTTTCCTTTCTGAGCCTTCACCAGAATCACTTTTCAATGTCCATATTCCTACCCAAGTATCTTCAAGGCAATCCAGGCTCTGTCTATAATGCACTCTCAAACTCTGCAAGCATCTACCAATTACCCAGTTGCAAAGCCACTTCCACATTTGAGGTATTTATTGCAGCAGTACCTCACTCCCAGTACCAAAAGCTGTATTATTTTGTTAGAACAGCTGCAACAAAGTAGCACAAACTGGGTGCCTTAAACAACAGAAATTTATCATCTCATAGTTCTAGATCTTAGAAATTCAAATTAGCATATTAACAGTGTTGGTTCCTACAGAAGATATAAGGGAAGGGGATATTTTCAGCCTCTGCCCTTGGTTTATAGATGACCAACTATATGTTAATACAGAATACTCCTTGTATACATGTCTGTATTCAAATTTCTCCTTCTATTAATGACATAAGTCATATTGGATCAGGGTCCACCTCAATCATCTTATTTTAACTTGCATACATCTGCAAAGATCCACCTCAAATAAGGTCATATTCTGAAGTACTAAGAGTTAGGGCCCCAAAATATGAATTTGTGGGGGGAACATAATGAAACAATAATTATCATACAACACAATGTATGGTCCATAACTGTCACAGTACCAGATATCTTACCGACCCACTGAAACTTTCTTCTTAGTGTCTTTACTTGAATATTTCTCCTTTCCCTAACTTGTAAATCCTGAAGCACTCTAAAATTGTATGCCTTTACTCCATTTCTCCCCTAATTTTCAAACTCATATCTGCAGCTATCTAATTGATGCCTCCAAATAGCCTTCAATTTACGATTTATAAAAGCAGATTTTTAATTTTTCATAATGTATCTATTCCTACCTAGGCTTTTTCTATCAAATTAATAATATGGTACTCCCTTTTGTGTTATTGTTCAGACCAAATTTCAAATGTCCTTCACCCTTTATTCTGTTCACATTGTTTATTTATATACTTAATAAGTCCTGTTCACTCTTCTTCTATAATATATTACAAACTTGATCATTCTCACTACACTGCATTGGTTCCTGGTCTACTGCAATAGCCAGGTCTACCAACTTTCTTTTCAGAATTTGACAATCTGTGTTCCTGAAGCAGCCCAAATGATCCTTTTTTTTGTTCTTATATTATTCAGATCCTATTACTCCTTTGATCACAACCCCTATAAGATATTCCTATTATATGCTCAATAAAATCCAGTATCCCTACCTTGGCCTGTATGCTCAATAAAATCCAATAATCCCTACCTTGGCCTACAAGATCTTAGATGACTGGGATCCAGGAAACCTATTCAGCTAATTTCCTACAATTCTCTATGTTTACCTGCTCAAGGCTTTTTACTAGTCCTCAAATATTCAAACTGCTTTTGCATCTTTTTAGTTCTATCTATCTTTTGCAGATGCCAATATCAGTAATCATAAGCAGTTTACCTCTAAATTCATGCTAAATATTGTGGAAAGGTGTACTATAAGTTCAATCTTTCATTTATTCATTCAACCACCAAGTGTTAATTGAACACATACATTGTGTCACACCAATCAAATAAGATAGACTCCCAGGCATCACCAAGCATCTACTAACTCAATTCATCTCAGGATCTATACCAGGGGTCATTTTATCAGAGGACTGAAGTCTTGATGCTGTCCAAGAAATCACCTTTTCACAATGAGTCTCCTACTTCTCTAGGTGGAGGTATAACTTTTTGGGATATATCATGGTTGCTGACTTAACTTTTCTATTTTTTAAATATACTCATGACAAGTATCATATAAAACCTAACCAGCAACTTTGCACCAGCAAAAGTTTTTCAACATTTCAATTCTTACAAAATCAAGTGATATAATTTCCTATGTAGCAAAAAATTCACACATCTGCAAAGCTTGGTTTCACTACCACCTGTTAAAATCTTACCTTTGGGAAGCTTATTTATGATTTGAAAAACATATTACCTCACTCAAAGAGCTGGAAGTCTCTCTTCAATCCAATATGCACACAGAAGACAAAAAGCTGTATCATTCCATGGTATATTTGAAATCATATGGCCATGTCTGTCCATTGTCTTCAGAGTTTCTAAGTATTTCAGAAAATTATGACTTGCATTGTAGAACTATTTTAAAGAAATTCCATGGTGCAAACGGAAAATTAGAACTTTTCATGTTAGGATAATTTATTAAAAATACAAACAAATCCTATGTCTACATAAGAAGATAGTAATTAGCCTTTTTAAGGGGGAAATTTTTCTCCTGTAACTTCTTTTCTACTAATTTCAATAAAGAATAACTGCCATTCCAATGTTTATACCATCTCACTTTCTTGTCTTCCTGTGGCCAGGCATTCATGCTTGAAATTTGGAGAGGAAATTCTGTTTCTTTTTTCCATTGGTAGTAATGCATTTATTTATTTATTTATTTATTATTTATTATTATTATACTTTAAGTTTTAGGGTAAATGTGCACAATGTACAGGTTAGTTACATATGTATACATGTGCCATGTTGGTGTGCTGCACCCACCAACTCATCATCTAGCATTAGGTATATCTCCCAATGTTATCCCTCCCCCCTCCCCCATCCCACAACAGTCCCCAGAGTGGGATGTTCCCCTTCCTGTGTCCATGTGCTCTCATTGTTCAATTCCCACCTATGAGTGAGAATATGCAGTGTTTGATTTTTTGTTCTTGCGATAGTTTACTGAGAATGATGATTTCTAATTTCATCCATGTCCCTACAAAGGACATGAACTCATCATTTTTGATGGCTGCATAGTATTCCATGGTGTATATGTGCCACATTTTCTTAATCCAGTCTATCATTGTTGGACATTTGGGTGGGTTCCAAGTCTTTGCTATTGTGAATAATGTCACAATAAACATACGTGTGCATGTGTCTTTATAGCAACATGATTTATAGTCCTTTGGGAATATACCCAGTAATGGGATGGATGGGTCAAATGGTATTTCTAGTTCTAGATCCCTGAGGAATCGCCACACTGACTTCCACAATGGTTGAACTAGTTTACAGTCCCAACAACAGTGTAAAAGTGTTCCTATTTCTCCACATCCTCGCCAGCACCTGTTGTTTCCTGACTTTTTAATGATTGACATTCTAACTGGTGTGAGATGGTATCTCATTGTGGTTTTGATTTTCATTTCTCTGATGGCCAGTGATGATGAGCATTTTTTCATGTGTTTTTTGGCTGCATAAATGTCTTCTTTTTAGAAGTGTCTGTTCATGTCCTTTGCCCACTTTTTGGTGGGGTTGTTTGTTTTTTTCTTGTACATTTGTTTGAGTTCATTGTAGATTCTGGATATTAGCCCTTTGTCAGAAGAGTAGGTTGTGAAAATTTTCTCCCATTTCGTAGGTTGCCTGTTCACTCTGATGGTAGCTTCTTTTGCTGTGCAGAAGCTCTTTAGTTTAATTAGATCCCATTTGTCAATTTTGGCTTTTGTTGCCATGGCTTTTGGTGTTTTAGACATGAAGTACTTGACCATGCCTATGTCCTGAATGGTGATGCCTAGGTTTTCTTCTAGGGTTTATATGGTTTTAGGTCTAACATTTAAGTCTTTAATCCATCTTGAATTGATTTTTGTATAAGGTGTAAGGAAGGGATCCAGTTTCAGCTTTCTACATATGGCTAGCCAGATTTCCCAGCACCATTTATTAAATAGGGAATCCTTTCCACATTGCTTCTTTTTCTCAGGTTTGTCAAAGATCAGATAGTTGTAGATATTCAGCATTATTTCTGAGGGCTCTGTTCTGTTCCATTGATTTATATCTCTGTTTTGGTACCAGTACCATGCTGTTTTGATTACTGTAGCCTTGTAGCATAGTTTGAAGTCAGGTAGTGTGATGCCTCCAGCTTTGTTCTTTTGGCTTAGGATTGACTTGGCAATGCGGGCTCTTTTTTGGTTCCATATGAACTTTAAAGTAGTTTTTTCCAATTCTGTGAAGAAAGTCATTGGTAGCTTGATGGGGATGGCATTGAATCTGTAAATTACCTTGGGCAGTATGGCCATTTTCACGATATTGATTCTTCCTACCTATGAGCATGGAATGTTCTTCCATTTGTTTGTATTCTCTTTTATTTCATTGAGCAGTGGTTTGTAGTTCTCCTTGAAGAGGTCCTTCACGTCCCTTGTGAGTTGGATTCCTAGGTATTTTATTCTCTTTGAAGCAATTGTGAATGGGAGTTCACTCATGATTTGGCTCTGTTTGTCTGTTTCTGGTGTATAAGAATGCTTGTGATTTTTGTACATTGATTTGATATCCTGGGACTTTGCTGAAATTGCTTATCAGCTTAAGGAGATTTTGGGCTGAGAAAATGGGGTTTTCTAGATATACAATCATGTCGTCTGCAAACAGGGACAATTTGACTTCCTCTTTTCCTAACTGAATACACTTTATTTCCTTCTCCTGCCTAATTGCCCTGGCCAGAACTTCCAACACTATGTTGAATAGGAGTGGTGAGAGAGGGCATCCCTCTCTTGTGCCCATTTTCAAAGGGAATGCTTCCAGTTTTTGCCCATTCAGTATGATATTGGCTGTGGGTTTGTCATAGATAGCTCTTATTATTTTGAGATACGTCCCATCAATACCTAATTTATTGAGAGTTTTTAGCATGAAGGGTTGCTGAATTTTGTCAAAGGCCTTCTCTGCATCTATTGAGATAATCATGTGGTTTTTGTCTTTGGTTCTGTTTATATGCTGGATTACATTTATTGATTTGCATATATTGAACCAGCCTTGCATCCCAGGGATGAAGAGC
This sequence comes from Homo sapiens, assembly GCF_000001405.40. NCBI lineage: Eukaryota > Metazoa > Chordata > Mammalia > Primates > Hominidae > Homo > Homo sapiens. The sequence continues at coordinate 49,929,396 of NC_000011.10, forward strand.
ACTTGATCATGGTGCATAAGCTTTTTGATGTGCTGCTGGATTCGTTTGCCAGTATTTTATTGAGGATTTTTGCATCAATGTTCATCAAGGATATTGGTCTAAAATTCTCTTTTTTGGTTGTGTCTCTGCCTGGTTTTGCTATCAGGATTATGCTGGCCTCATAAAATGAGTTAGGGAGGATTCCCTCTTTTTCTATTGATTGGAATAATTTCAGAAGGAATGGTACCAGTTCCTCCTTGTACCTCTGGTATAATTTGGCTGTGAATCCATCTGGTCCTGGACTCTTTTTGGTTGGTAAGCTATTGATTATTGCCACAATTTCAGATCCTGTTATTGGTCTATTCAGAGATTCAACTTCTTCCTAGTTTAGTCTTGGGAGAGTGTATGTGTCCAGGAATTTATCCATTTCTTCTAGATTTTCTAGTTTTACTTGCGTAGAGGTGTTTGTAGTATTCTCTGATGGTAGATTGTATTTCTGTGGGATTGGTTGTGATATCCCCTTTATCATTTTTTATTGCATCTATTTGATTCTTCTCTCTTTTTTTCTTTATTAGTCTTGCTAGTGGTCTATCAATTTTGCTGATCCTTTCAAATAACCAGCTCCTGGATTCATTACTTTTTGAAGGGTTTTTTGTGTCTCTATTTCCTTCAGTTCTGCTCTGATTTTAGTTATTTCTTGCCTTCTGCTGGCTTTTGAATGTGTTTGCTCTTGCTTTTCTAGTTCTTTTAATTGTGATGTTAAGGTGTTAATTTTGGATCTTTCCTTCTTTCTTTTGTGGGCATTTAGTACTATAAATTTCCCTCTACACACTGCTTTGAATGCGTCCCAGAGATTCTGGTATGTTGTGTCTTTGTTCTCGTTGGTTTCAAAGAACATCTTTATTTCTGTCTTCATTTCATTATGTACCCAGTAGTCATTCAGGAGCAGGTTGTTCAGTTTCCATGTAGTTGAGTGCTTTTGAGTGAGATTCTTAATCCTGAGTTCTAGTTTGATTGCACTGTGGTCTGAGAGATAGTTTGTTATAATTTCTGTTCTTTTACATTTGTTGAGGAGAGCTTTACTTCCAAGTATGTGGTCAATTTTGGAATAGGTGTGGTGTGGTGCTGAAAAAAATGTATATTCTGTTGATTTGGGGTGGAGAGTTCTGTAGATGTCTGTTAGATCCACTTGGTGTAGAGCTCAGATCAATTCCTGGGTGTCCTTGAGGAGGAAATTCTTGTGCCTTTTTTATATCATGTGGTAAACCTAATAAAACATCTTCTGAAATAATTAGCCCTTAAAAGGATGATAGTATCTTCTACCTGACAGGGGCAAATATTATTGAAGACTTTGTACCTTATAAGCACATTAATCATGGAGTTTTGGAATTGGATTCTGTTCAAGACTGATTTTTGCTTAATTAAGTTCACCGGGATTTTCCCCATATTTTTAAAGAACATTTGCATGTAGAGATATTGTCAGATCAATCACATAACTAGGGTCAGAAAGATGTAACAAGGGAAGAAAAAACAACCATTATAGTAGGATTGCCAAAGAAGAATAAAATATCAGCCTAGCCACTTAGAAGATTAATTTATCATATTTTCACCACTTTGCAATAGCAGGCTTTTTTCCTTTTATCTAATTTCCATTTTTTCTGCCTACAAGTGTGGGTTTGGATATGTTTTTAAAATATTTTATTTAGTTGTAATAACTATTTATCTATGCATTTATTATTCTAAAAAATTGTTATGAGTATCCTTTTCATGCCAAGTTCTATGCCATAAGCTTAAGATACAATAGTTAATGAAACAGAAAAAAAAACAACAGCATAAAAGTCCTGCCTACATTAACTTTATATCTTCTAAGAAAGTAAGGAAACAATTTAATAAATTATAATCTATGATCAGTATTTAAAATACTGTGTATTGTTATGAAAAATAAAAGTGAGATATTACTGTAAAGAAGGTAATCAGAGGTCTTTTTAAATGGTGATACTTAGCTGAGGTCCAAAGGAAAAAATATTGCTCCATGGAAAATATTGTTACATGTGGAAAGCTCCAATATTTAAAGAGCTGAGCAAGTGCAAGTCAACAGAAGGTCTTAGTGCCTGAAAGGAAAAGGAAAAGAGAATGGACAGAACAAACTGAGGTTGAAGGGATGGACAGAAGCCAAGCCCTGCAGGGCAGTATAGATCTTGGTAAGGAATTTGTATTTCATTTAAAGTTCTTTTTAAAAGAAAGTAATGGGGACTTATAGTCTAGCATGTAAAGAGCTTAGAAGTCACCACTGTACCCTAACAACAAGTAAAAAGCTGAACAAACTAAAATATCAACAATTCATCTTAAATCCATCACAGAAGTGAGCTCACAGCGCAAACTGCTGCCCTCAAAATTGCAGAGATAGACAGGCAGATAGAGAGAATCACACCTTCCCTGAGCAGAAACCCACAAGCAGAAACCCCACAAGAACCTGTGCCAAGGAGGGTAGATATAGGTAGGAAAAACCTGAACTTAATTGATGAACTTCTTAATGGAGAAGGCTGAAAAATAAAAACTCTAGGGGAATCAGTCAAGGTGGGGCAGGGCAGAGGGTCTCTCACCTTTTGTGAGTTTTAACTTCATGATCCCTACCTGATACTCACAGAAGATGTTAGGAAAAGACCTGTCCACATGTTAAATAAACTTTTTACAAAATATATCCAAACCCACACTAATGGGAAAAAAATCAAGTATTAGATAAAAGGAAAATAATTGCTATGGCAAAGTAGGGAAATAAGTGATAAATTCATCTTCCTGGAGATGGGGAAAAACATTTTTAAATATCCACAGTATTCTGTTCTTCTTAACAAGGCTGGCCCTCAGAAGAACCTATTGTTAGCCACACCCTAACTTGCTGGGGTTTTATTAGAGCCTAACCTACTTGGAGTAAATGAAATACTCAATCATAGCCTTCTCTAAGGGCCTCTTATAAGGGCACTAATCCCATTTATCAGGGCTCCACCCTGATGGCCTCTCAGAGGCTCCACCTCCTAATACCATCACATAGGGAGTTAGAATTTTAATACATGAATTTTGGGTTGACACAAACATTAAGTACATAGCACCTTCCAAAGCAGAAAGCACCAGGTCAGACAGGTTCACTGGTAAATTCTACCAAATATTTAAGGAAGATATTATACCAGTTCTCTAAATTTCTTTTAGAAAATAGAAGAGGAAAGAAGACTTCCTAACTCATTCAATGAAGCCAGCCATACCCTACTCCCAAGAACAAAGACATTACAACAAAAGAAAACTTCAGACTAATATCTCTTATTAATATAGATGCAAAATCCTCAACAAAATATTAGCAGATTAAGTTCAACAATATGTAAAGATAATTGTACACCAGGATCAATGGAGATTTAGTCCAGGTACTTTTGAATGTTGATTCCACCCTGCATACCCGGACTAAATCTCAGTAGATCCTGGTGTACAATTTAGTATGCACGGTGGGATCAACATTCAAAAATCAATTGGCATAATCCATTGCCTCGAATGTTAAAGAGAAAAAATCAAATTACCATATTAATAGATGCAGAAAAAGCATTTGAAAAAATCTAACACCTATTTATGATTCTGAAAAAAAATCTAACACCTATTTATGATTCTAAAAAAAAACTGTAAAGTAAGAATCTACAGCTAGCATCACACTTAATGGTGAGAAACTTGAAGCTTTCCTACTAAGATCGGGAAAACGGCAAGAATGTCTCTTCTCATCACTTCTTGTCAACATTGTTCTGGCAGTCCTAGCTAATGTAATAAGACAAGATAAAGAATAAAAAGTATACTGATAGGAAGAAATAAAACTGTCAATGTCTATAGATGACATGACCATCTATGTAGAAATTTTTTCTAAATCAACAAAAAAATACTGGAACTAATAATTAGAACAGAGTGGTAGGATCAAGGTTAATATACAAAAGTCAATCACTTTTCTATATACCAGCAATGAACAAGTATAATCTAAAATTCAAAACACAATATCATTTATTTAGCAATCCAATAAAATGAAAAACTTAGGTAAAAATCTAACAAAATTGTGTACAAGTGAGAAAAACTACAAAGCTCTAATTAACAAATTAAGGCCGGGCACGGAGGCTCATGCCTGTAGTTCCAGCACTTTGAGAGGCTGAGGCAGGCAGATCAGCTGAGGTCGGGAGTTTGAGATCAGTCTGACCAACATGGAGAAACCCCGTCTCTACTAAGAAAAAATACAAAATTAGCCAGGCATGGTGGCACATGCCTGTAATCCCAGCTACTCGGGAGGCTGAGGCAGGAGAATCACTTGAACCGAGGGGGCGCAGGTTGCAGTGAGCCGAGATCACACCATTGCACTCCAGCCTGGATGACAAGAGTGAAACTCCATCTCAAAAAAAAAAAAAAGAAAAAACAAATGAAAAAACTAAATAAATGAAGAAATATTTCATATTCATGGATAGGAAGACTCAATATTTTCAAGATATCTATTCTTCCCAACTTTATCTATACATTCATTTTAATCACAGTAAAAATTCCAGCAAGGTATTTTGTAAATATTGACAAACTAATTCTAAAGCTTATATGGAAAGGCAAAAGACCAAGAATAGCTAATGTGATACTGAGGGAAAGAACAAAGTTGGAGAACTGTTACTACCCAACTTCAAGACTTGCTATAGAGGTACAGCAATCAAGACAATGTAGTATTGTTGAAGAAATAGATAGATCATACAATAGACAAATGATGTCAGATACTTTGGAAGACAGTTTGGCAATTTCTTATAAAACTAAACATACTGTTATCATATAATCAAGCAACTGGGATTTTTGACATTTACTCAAATAAGGTGAAAATTTATGCCCACACAAAAACTCGAACACAAATATTTCTAGCAGCTTTATTCATAATTGCCAAAACTTAGAGGCCATGAAGATGCTCTTTAGTAGGTAAGTGGATAAATAAATGTGCGAATCCAGACGATGAAATATTATTCAGTACTAAAAAGAATGAACTACCAAGCCATGAAAACACAGGGAGAAAACAAAATACATATCACTGAGAGAAAATGCCAATTTGAAAATGTTACATATTGTATATTTCCAACTATATGGCATTCTGGAAAAGGCTAAACTATGGAGACAGTAAAAATATCAGTGGACATTAGGGTTTATGGAGGAAGGAGGGAAGAATAAGTGGAGCACAGAGGCTTTTTATTTTTAGTTTTACTTTAAGTTCTGGGATACATGTGCAGAACATGCAGGTTTGTTACATAGGTATACACATGCTATGGTGGTTTGCTGCACCCATCAACCTGTCATCTAGGTTTTAAGCCCCATATGCATTAGGTATTTGTCCTAATGCTCTCTCTTCCCTTGCCGCTCATGGCCTGAAAGTCCTCAGTGTGTGGTTTTCCCCTCCCTGTGTTCCTGTTTTCTCATTGTTCAACTCTCACTTATAAGTGAGAACATGTGGCGTTTGGTTTTCTGTCCCTGTGTTAATTTGCTCAGAATGATGGCTTCCAGTTTCATCCATGTCCCTGAAAAGGACATGAACTCATGTTTTTTATGGCTGCTTAGTATTCCATGGTGTATATGTGCCACATTTTCTTTATCCAGTCTATCATTGATGGGCATTTGGGTTGGTTCCAAGTCTTGAGCACAGAGGATTTTTATGTTAGTTACTCTATTCTACTAACAGATACTGTAACAGTGGATACATGTCATTATATATTTGTCCAAGCTCATAGAATATACAATACCAAGAGCAAATCCTAGTGTAAACTAAGAACTTTGAGTTACATAAGTGTACCAGTAGAGATTTATTGTTGTAAACGTGTACCACTGTGGTGTGTGGAATGTTGATAGTAGAGGATACTATGCATGTGTAGGTACAGAGGTTATATAGGAACTCTTTGTACTACCTGCTCAAATTCTGTGACACTAAAAAATAAAATTTAGTGTTTAAAACAACAACAACCCAACAAGCAATCAGGGAAAGGAAGCTCATACCTGCCTGAGGATAAATGATTCTGGAGTCTACATTTGGAGCCGAGGTCCAGATAGAGAGATGAGACAATATGAAATGATTTTACCATTTTGGACATAGGTGACTATGGATTTTAAACAGGAATTTAAGTTGGAGACAGATTATCAGAGTTAGCCTTCTTACCTAAAATGTTATAACTTTAAAAGGTTATTTTGAACATCTATAAGTCTCATTGTTTCCCTAAAATGAGAATAATATGTAATTCATGACATTATGATGATAATATGATATAAGTTGTGTAAAGTGCTTACGCAGTGCCTAATACACAATACTGAACAATATATTTTTTGGTTTATTAAAAAACAATGAAAGTACTAATTAGGTTCAACTTAGCTTTCCTTCTGAAATCAGAGATTGGGTTTCTTCAGCATGGTAGACCATAGACAAATGAAAAGGTATTTCAGGTTCATGGATAGAAAAAATAAATATTGTTAAAATGTCCATACCATCCAAAGTGATATACAGATTCAATGTTACCTGTACCACTGTAATCATGTAAAAATTCCAGTGACATTTTTTAAAGTTTAGACTTTTTTAAATAAATAAATAAAATTCAAATGGAACCACAGAAGACCTCAAGTAGCCAAAGCAATCTTGAGGGGAAAGAAAAGTTGGAGGCATCACACTTCCTGATTAAAAATTATGTCACAAAGTGGTTGGGTGTGGTGGCTGACACCTATAATCCCAGAACTTTGGAAGCCTGAGGCAGGTGCATCACTTGAGGCCAAGAGTTTGAGACCAGCCTGGCTAATATGGTAAAACCCCTTCTCTACTAAAAATACAAAAATTAGCAAGGTGTGGCAGCACACACCTGTAATCCTAGCTACTTGGGAGGCTGAGACACGAGAATCTCTTGAACCTGGGAGGTGCAGGCTGCAGTGAGCCATGATTACATCACTGCACTCCAGCATGGGTGTCAGAGCAAGACTCCGTTTGAAATAAAATAAAATAAAATAAAATAAAATAAAATAAAATAAAATAAAATAAAATAAAATAAAATAAAATAAAGAGAAAATACAAATTATGTCACAAAGCTATTATCATCAAATCAGTATGGTTATAAAAACAGTATGGATGTAAAAACAGACACATAGACCAAAGAAACAGAATAGAAAGCCAAGAAATAAGCCCACACGTATACGTTTTTCTTCTTTTTTTTTATGACAGATTCTCGCTCCGTCACCCAGGCTGGAGTGCAGTGGGCAATCCCAGCTCACTGCAACCTCCACCTCCAAGGTTCAAGCAATTCTCCAGCCTCAGCCTCCCAAGTAGTTGGGATTACAGTTGCCCACCACCATACCTAGCTATTTTTTGTATTTTCAGTAGAGACGGGGGTTTCACCATTTTGGCCAGGCTGGTCTTGAACTCCTGACCTCAGGTGATCCACCCGCCTTGGCCTCCCAATGTGCTGAGATTACAGGTGTGAGCCACGGCACCCGGTCCCAGGCATATACTATTAATTAATCTTTAACAAAAGCACCGAGAATGAAACATAGAGAAAAGTTACTCTCTTCAATTAATGGTGTTAAGAAAGCTGGATATCCACATGCAAAAGAATAAAACTGGACACTTATACTATACCATAAATAAAAATCAAATCAAAATGGATTAAAGAACTGAACACAAACTATTATCTATAAAAACCCTAGGACGAAAACATAGTGGAAAATCTGCATGATATTGGTCTTGCCGATAATTTTTTGGATAGGACACCAAAGGCACAAGAAATAAAAGCAAAAACCAAACAAGTGGGACTACATCAAGCTAAAAACTTCAGCATATCAAGGAAAACAATCAACAAAAGTAAAAGACAGCCTAGAAATTGGGAGAAAGTATTTGTAACCCATAAATCTGTTAAGGAGTTAATATCCAAAATATATAAGGAATTCACATAACTCAACAGCAAAAAAAAATTAATAACCCAATTAAATATTACCAAAGAACCTGAATGGATATTTCTCCAAACAAAACAAAAACTTGGCCAATAGATAAAAGAAAAGATGCCCAATATTACTAATCATCAGGTAAATGCACATTAAAATCACAACGAGACATCACCTCACACTTCTTAGGATGGCTTTATCAAAAAGACGAGATAATAAGTGTTGGTGAGGACATAGAGAAAAGAGAACACTGGTACACTGTTGGTGGAAATGTAAATTGGAACAGCCATTAGGGGACACAGCATGAGGCTCATCGAAAAATTAAAAATAGAACTACCATATGGGTCAGCAATCCCTCTTCTGGATACACACACAAAGTAAATGAAAGTAGTACTTGTAGATATATCAGCACTCACATGTTCATTGCATTATTCACAATAACCACTATATGAAAACAAAACTCTAATGTTTCCCAACAGATGACTAGATTTTTTAAAAAGCATAAAATATGAATGTGATTATTATTAAAATTTATTATTATGAATTATATTAACATAGCATATTATTACTATATTGATAATGTAATATGTTTATTATAATATATTACCTTAATATAATATATAATATACATAATTTATGTTTTATATTATATTAAATATATAACATATATTTTATATTATATTAAATATATAACATATATTTTATATTATATTAAATATATAATATTCATATATGAATATTATTTCCATTTTAAAAACAAGGAGATCCTGCCATTTGCAATAATATGAATGAAACTGGAAGTCATTATGTTGAGTGAAATAAGCCAGACTCAGAAAGAAAATTACTGCATAATTTCTCCTATATGTGGAATACAAAAAAATAAATAAATAGCTGAATATGTAGAAACAGAGAATAGAACAACAGTGGTTACCAGAGGCAGAGTGTGGGGGAAATGGGAAGATATATAGGATGAATAAATCTAAAGATCTAAATAAAGTGTAGTATAAAAACTATAGTTAATAATATTGTATTGTATACTGCAAATTTTCTAACAGAGTAGGCTTTGGGTCCTCTAACAAAAAAAAAAAAATTACGATGCCAAAAGATAACCATGTGAGATAATGGATATGTTAAAGTGCATACCTGTAGTAATAGTTTCACCATGTACATGTATATCAAAAAATTGTGTTGTATAACTTAAATGTATACAATAAAAAATAGAAATATTATCTAAAAATGAAAGTAAAGTAAGGGAAGCATTTTTTCAATTGAGGGAATCTTCCATTAATAAGCATCTCAAATTAAGTTAGAAGAGCTGCTTGAGATTTGCTACCAAATCATATGCTATACAATGCTAGTCCCAGAAGGTTAGACACGTGACTTGAGAGATAGGAACCAGGAGCATCCGTGCAAGTCTTTGAGTTGGAAATTAGTTACCTGAGGCTGGGTTCTGACTATGTCAACAAAGGCGAAGTGGATCTGCGGTCAGAGAAGCAGCAGCACCTGTGGAGATGTGCCTGTGGCAACATAACTATGGTGTCAGAAGGGCAGCGGCTCCTTGGGAGCACCTGTCCCAACAGATGAGCTTCTACAAGTTATTCCTGGTCATTCATGTCAGACTCTGTAATTCTAACCTTTCCAAAGGTTCTTTAAAAAACTTAATTGCATATAGCAAATCTCTTCTGCCTAAACTAGCCAGAGATAATTCTGTGTCATCACCTAAGAACCATGGCTGATATAATAAATTGATCTAAATTTCTCTATTTCAATTTGTCACCAAGGATGGAAAGCCATCAATTGCAGAAGCATTCTGTTTAGCAAGGGTCCCTTTGAAAACTGCATTTACTTGTAACAGCCCATTCTTGGCACAGAATAAGCTTGACATAGAATAAACACATGGGCATTTCTTGTGCTGGAAATGCCATAGTGAACAAAACAGCCAATACCTCTACTTTCATGGATTTTAATTCTAACTGGAAAAAGAGGACAAAAAAATTAAATCTGACAATCGTGTGGTGAAAATGTTGAAGATAAAATGAAACAAAGTAATGTGATAGAAGATAACTCAAAGAGAGAGAGAATGGCTTTACATGGATGGCTCAAGAAGACCTCTAAGGAAGAGAAATTGAACTACAGACTGAGTGATGACAAGGACCTAGCCATGTGAAGATCTAGAAGATGAGCATTTGGGGAATAAAGAAGAGCTAGTACAATGGCCCGAGGGCAAGAATAAGGTCACAGCAGCTGGAGCACAGTGAACAAGCGAGAGAGTGGTGCTGGATGAGATCAAACAGATACATGTTTGGTGGGGAACAATTGTACAGACCCTGACAGGGTGTGAATACATCAATTACAATTGGTTAAATAGCTGTCCTTTTACAAATCAACCTATCTCAACTTCACTAAGTGAATTTTTTACATGGGAAAAAAGATAGAAATTAATTTTAAAACAATAGTCATTCAGAGGCAAACTGGAGATCAATGTCATTGACTACACCAAAAAGTCCATCAAAAATAGCAACTGCCAGAGGCACACACAAAGGCTTCTGGGAAAAGGTGGTTGCTTGGATGCATATGCTTTATTTTACTTCATCCTGATTTTAATTAGAAATGAATTAATTATAATATGATAAATTTAGTTGGTGATATTAGGGTCAAAAGAGAAGAAAGAAATTAAAGGCAAGAGTTGCATCAGGTCAAATAATATTCCTCCTCCACATACATAAATTTCTCTCTACTGTTTTACTTATGACTTTCAGTTCATTGTTCTGCACCCTGGATAGGTTAAACACTAAATTCTTGCACTTAAACCTTTTTCAACACCCAATCTGAAGTGACTCCCACCCTGCCTTCTGAGTTGCTCTCTATCACATCACAGGTTTCACTTTTTTAAGCCCTTTTCACTCTGAATTTATCCTTTCTTAAAAATGTTTATTTATTGTGCATTTCCCTGACTAGAATTTTTCCTTATTCAAATGTGTGTCATTTTTCTGGTATATACCACAGTGCCTAAAAGTTTAAGTTTCAAAGCAAAACTACATGAGTTTAAATCCTACCTCAGGTACTTGCTACCTCTTGACTGAAGTAATTTATTTAAATTTTCCAGGCTTCATCCAATTGTGTTGGAAATCAAGAAAAACAGTATCTATTTCATAAGGCTCTTGTGCAGATTAACAAGACAATGACTTTCTAGCATGAACCACGTTGTAGTAAATACTAATAAACTTTACTAAAATTATTATTATACTATAACTTTCTTATTTGTCATAAGGATTCTATTAAATTTTGTCTTCTTTAGCCTGATTTTGATTTGGAGACATTCAGACTTTTTTTTCCATACTTTAAGTTCTAGGGTACATGTGCACAATGTGCAGGTTTGTTACATAGGTATACATGTGCCATGTTGGTTTGCTTCACCCATCAATTCATCATTTACATTAGGTATTTCTCCGAATGCTATCCCTCCCCCTGACACCGCGCCCCATGACAGGCCCTGGGGTGTGATGTTCCCTGTCCTGTGTCCAAGTGTTCTCATTGTTCAATTCCCACCTATGAGTGAGAACATGCGGTGTTTGGTTTTCTGTCCTTGTGATAGTTAGCTCAGAATGATGGTTTCCAGCTGCATCCATGTCCCCGCAAAAGACATGAACTCATCCTTTTTTATGGCTGCATAGTATTCCATGATGTAAATGTGCCACATTTTCTTAATCCAGTCTATCATTGATGGACATTGACTACCTAGATTTTGGACTTCCAAGTTTTTAGAGCTGTGAGACATAAATTTTTATTTTTTATAAATTAGTCTGTGGCATTTGTTATGGCAGCACAAATGAAGTAAGACAAAGACCAAAATAAACAGAAATCCATCTACTGTTCATAGATGGAAGACTTAATATAATTGAGGCGACAATAATAGTAGTCAAGAACATTCAGTAGAAAATGAATTATCTCTTCAGCAAATGATACTGGGACAACTGGATACCCAAATACAAAATAATAAATTTGGACCCCTTTCTCTTGCCATGTACAAAAATTAATCCCAAATGGATCAAAGATCCAGTGTAAAATCTAAAAACATATAACTATTAGAGGAAAGCAGAAGGGTAAATCTTCATGATCTTGGGATTAGACAATGGTTTCTTAAATACAGCAATAAACAAGCAACAAATGAAAAACAGACAAATTGAACTTTATCAAAAATTTAAAACTTTTGTGCCTCAAAGGAAATTACCTAGAAAATCAAAGTCAGTTCACAAAATGGGAGAAAATACATCCAAATCATATATTTGATAAGGATCTTGTATAAAAATATGTAAAGTACTCTTTACATCTCAAAAATAAAAAGACAAACAACTCAATTAAAAATGCACAAAGGGGCCAGGCACAGTGGCTCACACCTGTAATCCCAGCAGCCGAGGTGGGTGGATCACGAGGTCAGGAGATCGAGACCATCCTGGCTAACACGGTGAAACACCATCTCTCCTAAAAATACAGAAAATTTAGCTGGGCATGGTGGCAGGCGCCTGTAGTCCTGGCTACTCGGGAGGCTGAGGCAGAAGAATGGCATGAACCCGGGAGGCAGAGCTTGCAGTGAGCCGAGATCACACTGCTGCACTCCAGCCTGGTCGACAGAGCAAGACTCCGTCTTAAAAAAAAAAAAAATGCACAAAGGTAGTGACGTCAAAAGATAGGAGTTTCCACATCACATTCCCTCACAGAAACACCAATATAAATATCCATCTGCACATGAAAATACATTCACAAGAGTTCTAGATCACAGGTGAGAACTTACAGTACCCAAGTGGAGGACACAATCAAGAAAAGATGCACTGAATGGGGGAAGAACAGCTTTACTTTACCCAAGTCACCCCTTCCCCAAGCCCATGTAGCACAAGGCTAAGAGAGACTCTCTCTGTCCCAGGGCTCTCCTATGTGGAAAAGAAAATTGAAGTAAGCATTGACTTCACTGCAGTTGCCTATTCAGGCCTGAACCAACAGTCTCAAGCACAAGGTCGATTTGCATGAACTTAACCACCAGGCTCACCCCAGAGCCAGGCAGGTCCCCACAGACTGAGGCTCTTAAACCACCCCAGCACTAGGCCATCTCCCTTAGACCAAGTCACAAAACCAGCCCTAGTACGAATGAGGTCCTTACTAACTCAAAGCCAGGCTGGCACAAGTAGATAAGTCACCAGGGCTGCACCAGTGTCACACCACCCCTTCACACACTAAAGCTTCAGGCCAGCACCTTTGCAAGGCCAGCCCATGTAGATACAGGAACCAGACCCACCCCACTGCCAAACTGGCCCCAGTTCCAGGCCTATTCTATGGTTAGACTGCTATGTGGATCTAGGTTCTGGGCCTGCTTCAGTACCAGGCCAGTCCCTACAAAAACAGGCTATCAGCTCACCTCAGCACCAGGCCAGGAATGCAAACCAGGCACTAGACCAACCCCTATGGATTCAACCTACATGTCTGCCCCAATGAGCATCTATGGAAGGCCAGTAACCATGGATCCTGGCACTAGGCTTAACATAGGTATAGCTCCACCATGGAGGACTCAGTTTCCACCCTACCTCAATTCCAGGCTGTCCCTCAAAAATGCAGTCTCAAGGTCTGCTCCAGTGCCAGCCCAGCCCACATAAACCCAGGTTCTAAACTCACCCTGGTGGACCCAGGATCCATGCTCACAACTGCAGAACCATGTGTCAGGTCTGTTCCCACTGGACTCTAATGCAAGGCCAACCCTATGGAAACAGATAGTAAGGTTATCTGCCTGGAGACCTCTACAGTCGAACTGCCCATAGTCTCTTCAACTGTTGGCTCACATAGGAATTCTAGACAAGCTGACTGGTGAAGGACTTTCCCAGAAGAAGCCAGACTGTAAAGGCTAGAAGAGATGACAACTTCTTCAAATGCAAAGACACCAAACAAGTTTATAGGAATCATGAAGGATCAGACAAACATGATACCACCAAAGGAAATAAATAAATCAACAGTAATTGACCCTAAAGAAATGGAGATATATGAACTGTCTGACAAGGAATTCAAAATAATTGTCTTCAAGAATTCATGGGAATACATAACACAGGTAAACAACTTTAAAAATTAGGAAAACAAAGCATGAACAAAATTAGAAGTTCAATAAAAATATATAAACCATAAAAAGGAATCAAACAGAAATTCAAGAGAGGAACACAGTGAACTGAAAAATTCAATAAAGAGAGCTGCAAAGCAGACTCAGCCAAGCAGGAGAAAGAATCAGCAAGCTTGAAGACAGATTGCTTGAAATGTGTCTCACTTGGAGGGAAAAAAAGGACAAATAAAGTTAAAAAAGCCTTTGGTATTTCTGGAACACCATCCTGTATGTCAATGTATGTATTATGGGCTACCCAGAAGGAACAGAGAAAGAAAGAGAAGCTAAAAGTATGTTTAAAGAAATGATAATAAAGAAAATGGTCCCCAAATGTAGGAATGGATATAAACATCCAGACCCATGAAGCTCAAAGAACTACAAAAGTTAGGACATAAAGATGTCTTCATCAAAACACAATAGAATCAAATTGCCAAAATTAAGGACAAAGAGAGAAGTTTGAAAGCACTAAGGAAAAAATGACTTATCACGTACAAAGGAATAAAACTATTAGCAGATTTTTCAGCAGAAACCTTGCAGTTTCTATATATTCAAAGTGCTGAAAGAAAAAGAAAGAGAACTATCAACACAGAACACTCAGAAAAACTGTTCAGAAATAAAAAAGTGATAAAACTTTCCCAGACAAACATAATCTCAGTGAGTTCATCACCACTGGACCTGCCTTAAAGGGAATACTAAAGGAAATTCTTCACACTTGAAACAAAAGTGAGCTGAAATGAAAGGACAGTAACTAACAACATGAAAACATATGAAAGCATAAACTCATTGGTAAAGACAGACTATTCTAATACTATAGTAGCATAGAAATAAACCCACACATCTATTAACTCATCTCTGACAAAGGTGTCAAGAACACACAGTAGGAGGAAGAAGAGTCTTTTCAATACATGGTGTTAGAAAAACTGGATATCCACAAACAGAAGAATGAAATTGGACCCTTATCTCACACCATATACAAAAAGCAAATGAAAATGGATTGACAACTTAAATGCAATACCTGAAACTACAAAGTTAGTAGAAGAAAACAGGAGAAAGAAAATCTTGATTTTGGTCTGGGCAATTATATTTTAATCTGATACCAAAAGCACAGGTCACAAAAGCAAAAATAAATGAGTAGTATTGTATCAAATGAAAAGTTTCTTCACAGCAAAGGAAACAATCAACAAAGTGAAAAGGCAATCTATGGAATGAGAGAAAATATTTGCAATCCATGTATATGATTAGGAGTTAATATCCAAAATATAAAAGGAGCACATACAACTCAATAGCAAAAAAATAAAAAAATGGACAAAGAATGAGAATAAAAACCTCTCAAAAGAAAATATATGAAAGTCCAACCAGTATTTGAAAAGATACTCAATATCACTTATTATTATAGTAATGCAAAGCAAAATCACAATGAAATATCACCTCACACATGTAGCATAGCTATATCAGAAAAAAGATAAATGTTAGTGAAGAAGTGGAGGAAAGAAAACCCTTGTGCACAGTTGGCGAGAATGTAAGTTGATACAGGCATTGGGAACACAGTATAGAGGTTCCCCCCAAAATTAGAAAGCTTCTGATCCAGCAATCTCAATTCTGGTTTTATATCCAAAGAAAATGAAATTGGTATCTTGAAAAGATACCTGTATTCCATGTTTACTGGAGTATTATTCACAATACAAGGATACAGCAACAATCTAATTGCCTATTGGTAACTTAATGGATTAGAAAAGTGATTATATATATATATATAATTCAGCCTTAATAGAAAAGAAATTCTTCCATTTGCAAGAACATGGATAAATCTGCAGGACATTATGCTAAACAAAATAAGCCAGGCACAAAAAGACAAATATTGCATGTCCTCACTTATAGGTAAAATCTAAAATAATAAAACTCATAGAAACAGTGAATAGTATAGTAGTTGTGAGGGGCTAGAGCAGGGAGAAATGGGAATGTTGGTCAAGGTGTATAAAGTCACCCTTATGTAAAATAAGTGGTAGAGCTAAGGTACAGCAAAGTGACTACAGTTATTACTACAGTTTTGTATACAGTACAGTAGATTTAAGAAGGTAGAGCTTTTGGCTTAGGATTGACTTGGCAACGTGGGCTCTTTTTTCATTCCATATGAACTTCAAAGAAGATTTTCCAATTCTGTGAAGAAAGCCATTGGTAGCTTGATGGGGATGGCATTGAATCTGTAAATTACCTTGGGCAGTATGGCCATTTTTGTGATATTGATTCTTCCTGCCCATGAGCATGGAATGTTCTTCCATTTGATTGTATCCTCCTTTATATCATTGAGCAGTGGTTTGTAGTTCTCCTTGAAGAGGTCCTTCACATCCCTTGTAAGTTGGATTCCTAGGTATTTTATTCTCTTTGTAGCAATTCTGAATGGGAGTTCACTCATGATTTGGCTCTCTGTTACTGGTGTATAAGAATGATTGTGATTTTTGCACATTGGTTTTGTATCCTCAGACTTTGCTGAAGTTGCCTATCAGCTTAAGGAGATTTTGGGCTGAGACAATGGGGTTTTCTAGGTATACAATCATGTCATCTGCAAACAGGGACAATTTTACTTCCTGTTTTCCTAATTGAATACCCTTTATTTCCTTCTCCTGCCTGATTACCCTGGCCAGAATTTCCAACACTATGTTGAATAGGAGTGGTGAGAGAGGGTGTTCCTGTGTTGTGCCAGTTTTCAAAGGGAATGCTTCCAGTTTTTGCCCATTCAGTATGATATTGGCTGTGGGTTTGTCATAGATAGCTCTTATTATTTTGAGATACGTCCCATCAATACCTAACTTACTGAGAGTGTTTAGCATGAAGATTTGTTGAATTTTGTCAAAGGCCTTTTCTGTATCTATTGAGATAATCATATGGTTTTTGTCATTGGTTCTGTTTATATGCTGGATTACGTTTATTGATTTGCATATGTTGAACCAGCCTTGCATCCCAGGGATGAAGCCCACTTGATCATGATGGTTAAGCTATTTGATGTGCTGCTGGATTCAGTTTACCAGTATTTTATTGAGGATTTTTGCATCGATGTTCATCAGGGATATTTGTCTAAAATTCTCTTTTTTTGTTGTGCCTCTGCCAGGCTTTGGTATCAGGATGATGCTGGCCTCATAAAATGAGTTAGGGAGGATTCTCTCTTTTTCTATTGATTGGAACAGTTTCAGAAGGAATGATACCAGCTTCCCCTTGTACCTCTGGTAGAATTTCGCTGTGAATCCATCTGGTCCTGGACTTTTTTTGCTTGGTAAGCTATTAATTATTGCCTCAATTTGAGAGCCTGTTATTGGTCTATTCAGAGATACAAATTCTTCCTGGTTTAGTCTTGGGAGGGTGTATGTGTCAAGGAATTTATCCATTTCTTCTAGATTTTCTAGTTTATTTGCATAGAGGTGTTTACAGTGTACTCTGATGGTAATTTGTATTTCTGTGAGATTGGTGGTGATATCCCCTTTATCATTTTTTACTGCATCTATTTGATTCTTCTCTGTTTTCTTCTTTACTAGTCTTGCCAGCGTCTATCAATTTTGTTGATCTTTTCAAAAAACCAGCTCCTGGATTCACTGATTTTTTGAAAGTTTTTTTTTGTGTCTCTATTTCCTTCACTTCTGCTCTGATCTTAGTTATTTCTTGCCTTCTGTTGGCTTTTGAATGTGTTTGCTCTTGCTTCTCTAGTTCCTTTAATTGTGATGTTAGGGTGTCAATTTTAGATCTTTCCTGCTTTCTCTTGTGGGCATTTAGTGCTATAAATTTCCCTCTACACACTGCTTTGAATGTGTCCCAGAGATTCTGGTATATTGTGTCTTTGTTCTCATTGGTTTCCAAGAACATTTTTAATTCTGCCTTTGTTTTGTTATGGACCTAGTAGTTATTCAGGAGCAGGTTGTTCAGTTTCCATGTAGTTGAGCGGTTTTGAGTGAGTTTCTTATATTCTGAGTTTAGTTTGATTGCACTGTGGTCTGAGAGACAGTTTGCTATAATTTTTGTTCTTTTACATTTGCTGAGGAGTGCTTTACTTCCAACTATGTGGTCAATTTTGGAATTGGTATGGTGTGGTCCTGAGAAGAATGTATAATCTGTTGATTTGGGGTGGAGAGTTCTGTAGATGTCTATTAGGTCCGCTTGGTGCAGACCTGAGTTCAATTCCTGGATATCCTTGTTAACTTTCTGTCTCGTTGATCTGTCTAATGTTGACAGTGGGGTGTTAAAGTCTCCCACTATTAATGTGTGGGAGTCTAAGTCTCTTTGTAGGTCTCTGAGGACTTGCTTTATGAATCTGGGTGCTCCTGTATTGGGTGCATATATATTTAGGATAGTTATCTCTTCTTGTTGAATTGAGGCATCACGCTACCTGACTTCAAACTATACTACAAGGCTACAGTAATCAAAACAGCATGGTACTGATACCAAAACAGAGATATAGAACAATGGAACAGAAAAGAGCCCTCAGAAATAATGTCACATAACTACCACCATCTGTTCTTTGACAAACCTGACAAAAACAAGACATGGGGAAACAGTTCCCTATTTATTAAATGGTGCTGGGAAAACTGGCTAGCCATATGTAGAAAGCTGAAAGTGGATCCCTTCCTTACACCTTATACAAAAATTAATTCAAGATGGATTAAAAACTTACATGTTAGACCTAAAACCATAAAAATCCTAGAAGAAAACCTAGGCAATACCATTCAGGACATAGGCATGGCAAGGACTTCATGTCTAAAACACCAAAAGCAATGGCAAAAAATGCCAAAATTGACAAATGGGATCTAATTAAACTAAAGAGCTTCTGCACAGCAAAAGAAACTACCATCAGAGTGAACAGGCAACCTACAGAATGGGAGAAAATTTTTGCAATCTACTCATCTGACAAACGGCTAATATCCAGAATCTACAATGAACTCCAACAACTTTCCAAGAAAAAAACAAACAACCCCATCATCAAGATGGCAAAGGACATGAACAGACACTTCTCAAAAGAAGACATTTATGCAGCCAAAAGACACATGAAAAAATGCTCATCATCACTGGCCATCAGAGAAATGCAAATCAAAACCACAATGAGATACCATCTCACACCAGTTAGAATGGCGATCATTAAAAAGTCAGGAAACAACAGGTGCTGGAGAGGATGTGGAGAAATAGGAACATTTTTACACTGTTTTTGGGACTGTAAACCAGTTCAACCATTGTGGAAGCCAGTGTGGTGATTCCTCAGGGATCTAGAACTAGAAATACCATTTGACCCAGCCATCCCATTACTGGGTATATACCCAAAGGATTATAAATCATGCTGCTTTAAAGACATGCACACGTATGTTTATTGTGGCACTATTCACAATAGCAAATACTTGGAGCCAACAATGATAGACTGGATTAAGAAATGTAGCACATATACATCATGGAATACTATGCAGCCATGAAAAATGATGGTTTCCTGTCTTTTGTGGGGACATGGATGGAGCTGGAAACCATAATTCTCAGCAAACTATCACAAGGACAAAAAACCAAACACAGCATGTTTTCACTCATAGGTGGGAATTGAACAGTGAGAACACATGGACACAGGAAGGGAGACATCACACACCAGGGCCTGTTGTAGGGTGGGGGGAGGGGGGAGGGATAGCATTAGGAGACATACCTAATGCTAAATGATGAGTTAAGGGGTGCAGCACACCAACATGGCACATGTATACATATATAACTAACCTGCACGTTGTGCACATGTACCCTAAAACTTAAAGTATAATAAAAAAATGAAGGTAGAGCTCAAGTTTCTCACCATAGCAATAAAAATGATTAACTATATAAGGTGATGAGCATGTTAATTATGTTGATTATGGTGATTATTACCCAATGTGTAATATATAAATCATCAAGTAGTACACCTCGAATATAAAAATTTTTTGTCAAATATACCTCAGTAAAGTATAAGGAGGGAAAGAAAAACAACAGCATTTGGAGTCAAGTCCTTTAAACTGGCTGCCATTAATTTCATGCCCTCAGTGCTCTAGATCTCAAGCAACCAATAACATTTTTCCAAAAATGGTTTCATATTAGATGAAAACACAGCAGCTCTTTCTGTAGCATGAGTTGACAGGGAAACTACATGTGGTGCCCACTCTGGAATTATGCCACCTTGCCATTTATGTGGCATTCAGCTTTCTTAGAAACCTGGATTCAGATAGGAAAAAAGGACTCTCACAGGCTTAAGTTTTAAATATAGAGCATTCAATTCCCCATTCAGGATGGGTATTTTTCAACCATGTCTCTCCAGAATATCTGCTTCTAAGACAGTCTTTTCATCAAAGGAGATAATTAATTCCTGGGAGAGAAAGCAACAGCTACAAGACAAGGTCTCTGAATCTTTATAGAAACCTCTTTAAATATACATGCAGTACAAGGTAAAAATGTTTTTTGTTGTTGTTGTTCACATCTCCAGAGCAAAATTCATCATGAATTGAGTGACTCATTTTCATGTATTTCTTCCACAGTTTCTTCGTCTTACCCTGCGGGGACCAGAGCCATGTAAAGATCCGTTTGTGTGTGTGTGTGTGTGTGTGTGTGTGTGTGTGTGTGTGTGTGTGTGTGTGTGAAAATATTCAGTCTTTAAGCTAGAAGAAAATATTTAGACTTACAAACAGACTTTCTTAACAACTGTTGATTTGATATTGAATCATCTGAATAAGCTCTTTTGAAGTGTGAAATACCTTTCACATTGAAGCTTACTTATTCCAAGAAAAGATAATTTCAAATAAGATTGTGTCTGAGCACACCTATACATCATTAAGATCATCAAAGACTCTAAGTTTTTCAATAGTGCTGAAGCTTATGAAAGATTGTTACTTTCTATATAGAGTAATCGGTATTTTTCAGCACTTTTCAAATAGAGTAATAGAGTCTTGCATTCTCACTCCAATTATTCAAAAGGTAGTTGGTAAATATCATTAACCTAATTTGACAGTTGAAATATTTGAGGCTTATAGAGATTAAGCAATTTGTAGAACCCATCTCTCTGATATCGGGTACCATGTTTTGCCATGAGACACCTCCTTAGTGAATGAGACAAGTTATGAGGACTAAAACAAAATTTAAATACACTTCACACACACAAAAGACATAAATATGAATATTAAATGGCAAATCATCAGCTGATTAGTCCAAGCACAAACATGGAGAAGCTTTACTGGGATCACTTGCTATGAATAATATAAAGCCCTGTAAAAGGAAAATTGGAGACCTTTCTTTATGAGCTTAATGTGTGGTCAAATGTTTCTCTGTATTATATTGATCACATTGTCAATTTATCCTGTCTCCTAGGCTTATACAGCCATAAAAATAAATGAAAGTCCTGTATATGTCCCTAACAGTAGGGTAGATATATTCATATAGTTCTCCCAATTAATTCGCATAACAGTATGTGAGGTGAATATTATCATTTTATGGATGATAAGATTAAGATGTAAGGTGCCAAGAAATATACCCCAGGTAAAAGAAGTTATAGGTGGAAAAACGAGGATTCTAATCTGGTCTTTCTGATTCTCAAACTAACACACTTAACTATTGTGATAATGTTTTTTAACACTTTGCAGAAGTTTCTGGCTAGGGTCCCATGCTTTGCAAGGGGATCAAGGAGGAATGCATAGGGCTGAGGGAGAGGCTAAGCAAAAACAGCCCTTCAATGAATGTAATACCACATTTTTCTTAATATTTAGGAGTTTCAATATATCATTGTGTGTGTGTGTCTGTCTGCTGATGAAGTTACTCATATAAACTTGTCTCTGAAGTTGTATTAAAGTAATTATAAAAATTATGGCCATATCAAAGGGAAATTACCAGTTCAACATTGTTTATTACAACAATATAAGGCATGAGTTAAGACTTAGGGGGAAACAATTAACAAGCATAATCTGAAACTTAATATTAGGTCCAGCCTTGATTATCTGCTCGATCTTGGGAAGAACCTTAATTTCTATGTGCTTCTATTTCCTAATGTGTAAAATAAGTGTAAAAAGACAATAGTAACTAATACATAGGTTTTCAGTGAGGATTCAATAAGCAAATGTCTGTAAAAGCACTTGAAACATGCTGTGTTCAGTAAATATTAGTTAATGTTAACACTATAACTATTAACATTAGTCACTGAGATTGTGTCCTCATCTGTAAAATTGATAAAATGAGATCATGTGTGCAAAGCACAATCTACAATGTCATGCTCATAGCAATTATTCAGAGGTGTATATTATTAGCTATTATAAAGTTAATAGGACTTAGACAATAGATTATGAATTCTTTTATAGTAGCTCTTGTATTCTTTCTTTACATTTTCATCACAAATGCACTGTTATTCTTATGTCAACTTCTACAAATAGTCTGCTAAGTTCCATTATCTGGCTTCCAGCTCCTTACTGGATCTCAGCCCACATCATAAAAAACACACAAAGACCTTCACTAGAGAAATATCCCAAGAATCCCCCTTCTTCAGATTCCTCTTTATCATTTCACTCATATTGTGCATGACATTTCACATTTCATTATTTTCTAAAAAAAAAAAAGAGAGAGAGCAAATTTTGAGCTTTGCATTCATATGCTTTACATCTATATTCTATAATCTTTTCAGGCTTAGTTGCCACTATGTGTGCAATCATTCAACTTTCAGTCATTTCAGATGATTAAGTGTTCACAGATGGTCTCCTGCCTGTGTGCTACAAAAGTTTCTCATGTCAAAACTCTCAGCACAGTCTTCACCAGGGAGGCAATTTGAGTAAACCTCCAAAACTCAAAACTTTTTCCTATCTCAGAAAAGATCCTCAAATCACAACCCAGTAGAATCCAAGAATTTATTATATTACATATTACAGTGGAGAAGTTTAACAAATTTAAAGATGTATTAATAAAAATTGTTTTCTTTTCAGGTAATGTAATTAACCATCATTTGAAATACATGGCGAATAGAAACAATGTGACAGAGTTTATTCTATTGGGGCTTACAGAGAATCCAAAAATGCAGAAAATCATATTTGTTGTGTTTTCTGTCATCTACATCAACGCCATGATAGGAAATGTGCTCATTGTGGTCACCATCACTGCCAGCCCATCACTGAGATCCCCCATGTACTTTTTCCTGGCCTATCTCTCCTTTATTGATGCCTGCTATTCCTCTGTCAATACCCCTAAGCTGATCACAGATTCACTCTATGAAAACAAGACTATCTTATTCAATGGATGTATGACTCAAGTCTTTGGAGAACATTTTTTCAGAGGTGTTGAGGTCATCCTACTTACTGTAATGGCCTATGACCACTATGTGGCCATCTGCAAGCCCTTGCACTATACCACCGTCATGAAGCAGCATGTTTGTAGCCTGCTAGTGGGAGTGTCATGGGTAGGAGGCTTTCTTCATGCAACCATACAGATCCTCTTCATCTGTCAATTACCTTTCTGTGGTCCTAATGTCATAGATCACTTTATGTGTGATCTCTACACTTTGATCAATCTTGCCTGCACTAATACCCACACTCTAGGACTCTTCATTGCTGCCAACAGTGGGTTCATATGCCTGTTAAACTGTCTCTTGCTCCTGGTCTCCTGCGTGGTCATACTGTACTCCTTAAAGACCCACAGCTTAGAGGCAAGGCACGAAGCCCTCTCTACCTGTGTCTCCCACATCACAGTTGTCATCTTATCCTTTATACCCTGCATATTTGTGTACATGAGACCTCCAGCTACTTTACCCATTGATAAAGCAGTTGCTGTATTCTACACTATGATAACTTCTATGTTAAACCCCTTAATCTACACCTTGAGGAATGCTCAAATGAAAAATGCCATTAGGAAATTGTGTAGTAGGAAAGCTATTTCAAGTGTCAAATAAATGTGACTGGAGCCCAACATGATTCAGCTGAGGCAAGGGTCAAAAGGACATTTTGGGTAATGCCAGCAAGGAATACTTATTTGATAAATAAAATAATTAACCACTGTGATCCATAGATGATGCCTTGAGGGGAGTCAAAATGGGTTCAGGAAAAAGGAGAAAACCTAACCATGTATCATTCTCACAAACTGGGAAAATTCTACCGATTCGGGGCTTAGTTTCACTAGCTTCATCCATATATATGAAACTCATAGGCCTTCCTTCTAATAAATGTAAAATAAGTAATAAAATAAATATATCTATATTAAGTAATAATGTCCATAACAAACTGAGGGAGGCATTATTCTTATCCCCATTTACCAAAGAGGAAACTGAGAGAAGGGGACAGTGTTAAAATAGAAATATAAAATAGACAGTAACCAGAATCTCACTGATTTCCCAAACCATATGCTTAACTACCATGATACCCTGCCAAGCAATGATGATAGAAATATCAGATCATGATAACAGCTATCATTTATTGAGACAAGGACTAGCTGGACACATTGTATATGTTAGTTCATTAAAAATATAAGTTTTTCATTAATAATTGTTTCATTTTTATATATCAAAACTGATGGCCATTGTTTTCTGAAATATTATGCTATCTAACTACTTCAGGGCTATAAAAGCAAAAATCTATTTAGCATCTGATGGGTAAACAATGAAGTTTATACCATGATTTCAAATGTCCTTGTAGGCTTCAGAACCATTTTCTATTATTCATGTTACCCTTTTTATACTGATAATCGACCAGAAAGAGTGATGGTTCAAATAAAGATGTTTTGATATCAAGGAGAAATTTCTATTTATTGAATATACAGTTATAATCCATAAAGTACTTGCCCGATAGATAACAATAGTTCCTACAAGGTACCACGTCTGGTATACCATAAACAGAATCAATGAATAAAAGGATTAATGAAAATGAATAAATTCAATAAAATATAAAGCAAAAGTAGTAGTGGAGGCTAGGAAAGTATTTTCTACCTTCAGACTAAGAATTCTGGTTGGAACTCATAGGGAAATCACATTTTTTCACTCTTATTGAAACAATGAGAAAGAAATTGAAACTGCATTCTCAGCATATGAACATATAGTTTATCTTGATATTTTTCCTACCCCCAGTAAAATTGTATTATCTTATGTATATGGGCTGTTTATATTTTTCTATTAATCAGTTTGCTTTTTGGTAACATTTTCATATTAAAAGCTGTTTCATTTGTTTTTTGTTTTTGAGACGGAGTCGCTCTCTGTTGCCAGGCTGGAGCACAGTGGCACGATCTTGGCTCACTGCAACCTCCGCCTCCCGGGTTCAAGTGATTCTCCTGTCTCAGCCTAGTGAGCAGCTGGGACTACAGGCACCTGCCACCATGCCTGGCTAGTACAGATGGGGTTTCACCATGTTGGCCAGGATGGTCTTGATCTCCTGACATCATGATCTGCCAACCTTAGCCTCCCAAAATGCTGGATTACAGGTGTGAGCCACCACACCCAGTCTAAAAGCTGTTTTTCAAATTATATAGCTACACACAAAGCAATTTCAGAATAACTGTATTCCACTTATTCCTTGCATGCTTTATTCCTTAATCAACAAATACTTTTTATCCCCAGGAATGTATCAGGCACATTGATAGTTCCTGGGGCTTAGTGGTGAATAAAGAGAAACCAGGGTCCTCTTTTCACAAAAGTTAGGATACTCTGAGACACTTCAAGAAGAGAACAGAGAATTACAACCTAATACTATAAATAGTAAGATCATGGAATTACAGAGTGCTGTGAAAGCATGTTAGAAGGACACACAACAAAGACCTAGGAGATCTAAAAAGGATTCCTAGATGAAAAGACATCAAAAACAGAAGCTGACCAGGCACAGTGGCTCACGCCTGTAATCACAGCACTTTGGGAGGCCAAGGAGGGTGGATTACTTGAGGTCAAGAGCTCTAGACCAGCCTGGCCAACATGGAGAAACGCTGTTTCTACTAAAAATACAAAAATTAGCTGGGCGTGGTGGCGCATGTCTGTAGTCCCAACTACTTGGGAGGCTGAGGCAGAAGAATCACCTGAACCCAGGAGGCAGAGGTTTCAGTGAACCAAGATCTCGCCACTGCACTCCAGCCTGGCTGACGGAACAAGACTCTGTCTCAAAAAAGAAAAAGAAAGAAAGAAAAAAAAAAAAAACAGAAGCCAAAGGGAGAAAAAGAGTCCGCAGAATGAGTAGGCACAAGGTTGAGCTAAGAGTGCATCTATGAGAGGAAATAAGTAACAAAGGCCAGAAGGTGAGAAACAATCAGCAGGAAACCCAAACAATTCACTATCACTGTAATTATCAATTTATCTATTAATTCAACAATTATTTATTGAACCCCCATTGTGTGCTGGTGTAGGATACCGAGATTGTAAAAGGGAAAATACAAGACATGGAGCTGTAAAGTAGGATCTTGGTAAGATCAAAAAGGGTCTCATAATTCTGTTAAAACTAAATACTAAGTACCATGGAGAAAATAGTGAAAGTACTTTTAAACTAGCAAGAAATGTAGTTGGATTTGTTTTGGGAAGGATAACTCTAGCTACAGTATGGAAAATGGATTGAAGGGTCAAGCCTCCAAAGAGAAGAGCAACCAGGAGGTAATTATAATGATTTAAGTGTGAATAAATGGGGGTCTGAACTTTGGTGACTCCCAAGAGATGCCGAGTGTTAGGGACACTGTTGCATCCAGCTCAAATGCCTTTTGCCTGGTAAGTGAACTCATGCCCCACCTGCTGTGTCTGGGCTGCTAACAGCTCACAGCCCCACCCTTCCCTGGACAATTGCACCACAGAAAATGGGAGGTGCCACACTCAGAAGATTATGCCCACTGTCAAGGCCCAGCAGTGGCCAATGACTAACAGACACGAAAGTTTAAAAGGTTGTTGTATAATACGATGTATCCTCCAGAGCTTCAATGGCTCCAGACTCAAGGCAGACTTCAATTGAGACCACATCTGAAGCCTGACATCTGAAGCCTGACTCCAGTTGAGATCATGTCCTTTCTTCCCTCTACCATAGTTAGCTTCCCTCAAACTCTTCTCCTTATAAATCACTTTTGTAAAAATTCTCAATCTCAGATCTGCATCTAAGAAACCCAAACTAACACAGAGTAATAGAGACAGTTTAAGATACATTAATGAATTTTAAGGAAAATAACTTGATATAGGATGAAGATTAGAGAGAAAAGAGTCATGGATGAAACTATGTTTCTGCTTCAGAAGGAGGATACTCAGAAGATTGAACAGAGAAAAGATAAGCCTACTTTGCCAGCGGAAGAGGCCTCCCCACCTCGAGTAGAGCCTTTCCTTCACCCTTAGCAGAAGAAACCTCTTCACCCCTACTGAAGGTTTAACCTTGCATTGCCTGAGGAAATTATATGTCCTTCCCTGAAGCAGTTCCCCAGCAAAACAATGTTGATTTCCCTCAAGACCCATCTTCATCATCCCTCTTTGCTTCTAGACCTATAACTAGACTCAAGTTTAAACTCAACTGTGAAAGGTTTATCTGTGGCATTGCAGATGGCATCTGAACTCACTCCCAGAAGATGATAAACGTTAACTTCAGAACAAATCAAGAAAACTTTATTTGAATGCAAATAAAGCAATGTTCTTCCCTAAAAAGTCATCAGTTTATCACACAGTTTCAGTCAGGTTAGCTGAAGGTGTATTAGTAAGGGAGTGGGGAAAGAGAAAACAAATGTAGGATTATTCTACTTATCTCTAAGTGCTCATGGAATGTACACCACAATAGAAAATACACTGGGCCACAGTACAAGATGCAATACATTTCAAAGGACTAAACCATACAGAACACATATCTGATAATAGTAAGCTTCAACTAAAAATTTATAACAAAAGTATAACTAAACATCCCCCAATTATTTACAAATCAAGCAACACAATTCTAAATTATTCATATATTAAAGAAGTGCCAATGAAAAATTTTTAATGAATTTTAACTTAAAGGTGGTAAAAACAAACAAAAAAAAATACTAGATGCAGCTAAAGAATTGCTCAGAGAGAAATATATAGCTTTAAATGCAAGTACTAGAAAATAAAAAAGATTAAAGGAAATGAACTAAGCTTTCATCTCCAGAAGCTAGAAATAGTAGAGCAAAATAAATGCATAAAACATGGTATAATATGAACAGTAAGTAGAAGACAGATATACTTGAAATAAAATTAATTTAAAAATAGAGAAAATACATAAAGACTAGGGTTGATTTTGTGTAAAAATTAATAAAACTCATGTCCTTAGCAAAATTGGTTTTAAAATATAAGGAAAAAAAATTATGAGAATCAGCAGTGAAAAGGCTATGCTGTAGATTAACAAGATAATAAAAGGCCATTACAAATGAATTTTGCTAATGTCCTTGCCAGTTTAAAAGAAATGGACCTCTGCTTTGAAAAACACAGCTTTCTATTTTTTGTCATTCAAAAATGTCTGTAAAAACAATATTTCGATTGAATAAAGGAAATATATGCATCCTCCATATGCAAAGAGTCTTACAAGTTAATTACAAATCATTCAGCTACAAAATGGGCAAAGGAAAAGAACAATTTCCAAAAGAAGAATGAATGGTCAATAAATGTATGAAAAAATTTCAACTTCATTAGTAACTGGAGAAATGCAAATTTAAAACATTTGTACTAAGCAACTTTTAATTTTTATTAACAAATAATAATTGTACATATTTATGGGGTAAATAGTGACATTTTGATACATATAATGTATAGTGATTAATTCAGGGTAATTAGCATATCCATTATCTCAGACATTTATCATTTCTTTGGAAAAACACAACTTTCTAAACACACACACACACACACGCACACACACACAAGCAAAACCTGAATAACATACATGTGCTAAATTCACACTTGAAAAATTTTCCCCTGACTTCTCCCAAAAATACCAAGATTATATCCCTGTAGCTTTATCAGTGAATTCTACATATCACTTTTAAAAAATACTACCAATTTTATATCAACATTTTCAGGGATTAGAGAAAATGAAAAAGGGCATTACAAGAAAAAATATCAGATAAATATCTCTCATTAACACAGTCACAAAAATTCTGAACCCAATATTTAGCAAATAAAATACAGCCATATATAAAAATAATAATGTATCACGAGCAAGTAAGTTTTGTCCCAGGAATGAAATGTTGATTTCACATTCAAAATCAATTCATGGCCACATGCAGTGGCTCACACCTGTAATCCCAGCACTTTGGGAGGCTGAGGTGGGCAGATCGCTTGATCTCAGGAGTTCAAGACCAGCTGGGGCAAATATTGAGAACCCCATCTATACCAAAAAATTTTTAATTACCCGGGTGTGGCGGCATGCACCATAGTTCCAGCTACTTGGTAGGCTGAGGTGGGAGGATCGCTTGAGCCCAGGAAGTTAAGGCTGCAGTGATTGGTGATTGTGTCACTGCCCTCCAGCCTGGGCAACTGAGTGAGACCTTGTCTCAAAAAAAAAAAAAAAAATCAATTCATATAATTCACTGCATGAACAAAATTAAGTAGAAAAAAATATGATCAATTCAATAAATAGAGAAAAAACTTGATAGGATTTAACATATGTTCATGATTTTTAAAAAGTTTAAGAAAACTAGGAATAGAACTTCCTCAGTAGGATAAAGCCTATTAACAAACACCCTACAGCCAACATCGTTCTTAATGAGAAAATACTAAAAACTTTCTCTGGGAGTCAGGAACAATGCAAAACTATCCATTATAATTACATATATTCCACATTGTGCTGGAGAATCTAACCAGTGCAATAAGGCAAAGAAAAGAAATAAGTGCCATTGATAAAAATGACTAGGAAAAATTTTAAACTGTCATTATTTGCATACAATAATTTTGTGGGTGTAGCAAATCAAAATTTATAAACTATTAAAACTAATACATTTATGAGATGCTACATGGTATTAAAAATTTACAATTACAAAATATGCAACTACAAGATCACTGACTAGATTCGGCTGAGGTGCACCTCTTCCACAGAGAGGAACCAAAATATCGAGTCGATATTCACACTTTAAATAGATCATCTGAGAAAGAGCACTGGAATTCAACAGAGAGGCAACAGGAGACACAGA
The DNA here is from genome assembly GCF_000001405.40 of Homo sapiens. Classification (NCBI taxonomy): domain Eukaryota; kingdom Metazoa; phylum Chordata; class Mammalia; order Primates; family Hominidae; genus Homo; species Homo sapiens. The sequence continues at coordinate 49,959,532 of NC_000011.10, forward strand.
AGGTGAAGGAAGGAGATATGGGGCTGCCTGTTTGGGGTTGCTAGGAGCCAAGAGCTGCCCCAGACCCAAAGAAGGGGTAAGTGAAGGAACCCCAGAGCTCCACATTTCTGCTGCAGACTTCTACAATCCTAGATACAGGAGATTCCCTCAACCCCCATAAGCCTCCAGACTGGCATAGAGAGCTGCCTGGAGATTGTGCAGAGGTGCTTCTCAAACTTACATGGAGTCTCATAGGCTTCCAAGCACTGGGCAGCTGCAGCATGGTGCCATTCTGGGAGCCCATTCCCCATGGATCTCTGTCCTGTCCTGAGGCTGCCACTGCCACTACTGGCTGCTGGGCCAGGTAGTGAGAGGGGAGGCCAGGTGCTCTCACATCCCTCGAGGAGAGGTTCCACTGCTTCTGCTGTTGGACTGAGGTCATTTGGACCACATGCCTCATGCCTGCCAGTCTCTCCCAAATCTGCCTGCCTAGCCATTCCTATGGAGAGAGGACCACCCTTCCAAGTGGCAGACCCACAGTGCAGCCACTGTTGCCCTACATGAGTGTTTTTCTAGTGGCCAGGGACCAACTTGCCCTGCCTATCACCACCAGCACTTGAGTCCAGGGATCCCGAAGACAAGGCTGTTGGCCTGGTCCTATCCCTGCACAATTCCAGCATGCCATCCAGGAGCATGGAGATGAGACTTGTGATCTGACCTGGAGCCCCCCACAGTCAGAAGTGAGAGGAGAGTGTGGTGTGGGTTCATATCGTGGCACAGGAGCTGGGTACTCCTCCCTTCATAGGACCAGACCAGGAAGGATGTGGCCTGACAGCCAAAGTTTCTGCCCCAGACAGGGAGTTTCATGGCCTGGGGAGGCTTTGCCATCTGAACACAGACAGATTAGGATGGGCCTAGTGGTCCTGGCCAGCTGCTGGTGGCCTAAGGCTGTAGGGAAACCCATGAGGTTGGAGGTTTGGGGGCAGAGCAGGTCCCACTGCCACTTCCAGCTGCTGATTCATGGCCACCCCTCCCCCTAGCACAAAGGTGCTTTGATGCAGCAGAAATGCCTCTGCCCCTTCCTGGAGGGTTGCCCTGGTAGCCTGAGACCTGACCCCAAACCCCCAGCAGAATCAGCACTTGCACCAGCCTTGGAGAGCCTGGTCCAGGACTTCCCAGACCCAGCCATGCCTGGCTTTGCCCCATCCAACCACTGCAGCAGCAGAGCATAGGACAGGGAGTCCTGGGAGTTCCATGGCCCCACCCCTTACATGAGACACCCAGAGCTTCTGTAATGAACAAAATCCAAGGAAAAATCCCACTGCTCCCTCTCTCCTGGAAATGCCACATATTGGTTTGGAAGTCAACCTTCACAGCTTATTAAACTGCCCACACAACTGCACAGTGCTCAGCTGGCTCATATCTGCAAGTGCCACCTACTGACCTGGAGGTAAAACTAAACAACCCAATACAATCTCTGCTGACAGAAGTGCACAGTGCTGGGGAATAAAATAAGAGACTTCCCCCTGCTCATCTCTGCAGGAGGCAGTGATCCTTCTCACATGCCCAATCCACTGCTGCTACAACATACAAACAATAGTATTTGAGAAAACCATTACACTAAGGCTATGTATCATCAAAAAATTCATAGATTTGGCTCCCTGAAAGTACCCAGAAACAAAGTCAAAGGACCCTACACAATATATCCTATAGTCACACCCTCAAGAGGGGAATAAAGTTCTATCCAAACAAAAGTAAATCCAAAAAGAAACCAGCCTAAGATTTCTGGGACCATAGAAAAAAAGAGTGTTGCAATACACCCAAAGGATCACACTACGTCTCTAGCAATGGACACTGCTCCCCACATCCCAGGCTGCTCCAGCTTCTGCCACAGCTCAAAGGGATCCTGGCACAGCTCAGGTTGCCACTCTAGAGGGCACAAGCCATAAGCTTTGGCAGCTTCCATGTGGTATTAAGTCTGCTGGTACACAGAGTGCAAGAGTGAAGGTGGCTTGGCAGCCTCCATCTACATTTCAGAAAATGCACGAGAAAGCCTAGGTGCCCAGGCAGAAGGCTGCTGCAGGGGTGGAGCCCTTGCAGAGAACCTCTAATGAGGCCCCACACAGAGTCTCTACTAGGGCACAGACTAGTGGAGCTGTAGGAAGGGAGCTGCTACACTCCAGAACCCAGAATGTTTGAGCTTGCAACCTTAGCATGGAAAAGCCACAGGGAAGAGTAGCCCAAGGCTTTGGGAGCCCGCTCCTCACAACACTGTGCCCTGGATGTGGGACATAGAGTCAAAGGAGAGTATTTGGGAGTTTTAAAGCTTAATGACTGCCTTGCTGGGCTTTGAAATTGCATGGGGCCTATAGCTCCTTTCTTTTGGCTGATTTCTCCCTTTTATAAAGGGAATGTTTACCCAATGCCTGTACTACTGTTGTTTCTTGGAAGTACATAACCCGTTTTGATTTTACAGGCTTGAAGATGGAAGAAACTAATCTCCAGATGAGACTATGGACTTGGACTTGGTACTTTGAGTTAATGCTGGAATGAATTAAGACTTTGGGGACTTTTGGGAAGGAATGATTGTATTTTGCAGCATGATAAAAACATGAGATTGGGGGGGATGGGGTGGAATGATATAGTTTTGATATTTGTCCCCACCCAAATCTTATGTTGAAATGTCACCCCCAATGTTGGAGGTGGGGTCTAATGAAAGGTGTTTGGGTCATGAAGGTGTATCCCTCATGACTTGGTGATGTCCTCGTGATAGTGAGTTCTCATGAGACCAGGTTATGTTAAAGTCTGTGGCATCTTCCCCCAACTTTGCTCCTGCTCTGGCGTATGACATGCCTGCTCCTGCTTCACCTTCCACCATGAGTAAAAGCTCCCTGAAACCTCCCAAGAAGTCAAGAAGATGCCAATGCCATGCTTGTTCAGCCTGAAGAACTGTGAGCCAATTAAACCTCTTTTGTTTATAAATCACCCTGTCCCAGGTATTCCTTTACAGCTATGTAAGAATGGTCTAACATATTCATCATCATAAAGCATACAAAAGTATAAAATTTACAGGTCTTATAAAGCAGTTACACAACTGAAACTACAAAGCCATTAGGTAATAATTACCATTATGACAGGAACAAAAACTCACATATCAATATCAACTGTGAACGTAAATGATTAAATGCTCCACTTAAAGGATATAGACTGGTGGAAGGGATTTAAAAAAAAAATCCAGGCCAGGTGCAGTGGCTTATGCCTATAATCCCAGCACTTTGGGAAGCCAAGGCAGGTGGATCACCTGAGGTCAGGAGTTTGAGACCAGCCTGTCCAACATGGTGAAACCCTGTTTCTACTAAAAATACAAAAATTATCTGAGTGTGGTGGCACACATCTGTAATCCCAGCTACTTGGGAGGCTGAGGTAGGAGAATCGCTTGAACCTGCGAGGTGGAGATTGCAGTGAGTGGAGATCGTGCCACAACACTCCAGACTGGGAGATGGAGCGAGACTCCATCTCAAAAAAAAATAAAAAATAAACAATTCAACCAGATGCTGCTTATTACAAACCCACATAATTGTTGAAGACCATTTGCAGCCTCAAGGTAAATGTGTGGGAAAATATATTCCATGCAAATAAAAACCCAAAGTGAGCGGGAGTAGCGATATTTATATCAAATATAACAGACTTTGAAGTAAACAACAGTAAAAAAAAGACAAAGAGGTTATCTAATGACAAGGTATAAATTCAAGAAGAACTTATAACAATCACAAATATATAAGCACCCAACATGAGAGCACCCAGATACATAAAACAAATACTACTAGACCTAAGAAAAGGTGTACAGTGGAATAAGAACAGCTCCAGTCTGCAGCTCCCAGTGAGATCGATGCAGAAGGCAGGTGATTTCTGCATTTCCAACTGTGGTACCTGGTTCATCTCATTGGGACTGGTTGGACAGTGGGTGCAGCCCACAGAGGACAAGCCAAAGCAGGGCAGGGTGTCGCCTCACCCAAGAAGTGCAAGGAGTCAGGGAACTTCCCTTTCCTAGCCAAGGGAAGCTGTGAGAGACTGTACCAGGAGGAATGGTACATTGCTGCCCAGACACTGTGCTTTTCCCATGGTCTTGGCAACTGGCAGACCAGGAGATTCCCTCCAGTGCCTGGGTTGGTGGGTCCCAGGCCCACAGAGCCCAGCAAGCTAAGATCCATTGGCTTGAAATTCTCACTGCTAGTGCAGCAGTATGAGATTGACCTGGGATGCTTGAGCTTGGTTGGGGGACAGGCACCTGCCATTGCTGAGGCTTGAGTAGGTGGTTTTATGCTTCAGTGTAAACAAAGCTGCTGGGAAGTTTGAACTGGGCAGAACCCACCACAGCTCAGCAAGGTGGACTGCCTCCTAGATTCCACCTCTGTGGGCAGGGCATCATTGAACAAAAGGCAGCAGCCTCAGTCAGGGACTTATAGATAAAACCCCCATCTCCATGGGACAGAGCACCTGGGGGAAGGGACAGCAGGGGCACAGCTTCAGCAGACTTAAACATCTCTGCATGACAGCTCTGAAGATAGCAGTGGTTCTGCCAGCTCAGCCTTTGAGCTCTGATAATGGACAGACTGCTTCCTCAAGTGGGTCCCTGACCCCAGTGTAGCCTGACTGGAAGACATCTCCCAGTAGGGGCCAACAGTCACCTCATACAGGAGAACTTTTGCTGGCATCTGGTGAGTGACCCTCTGGGACTAAGCTTCCAGAGGAAGGATCAGGCAGCAATAGTTGCTGTTCTGCAGCTTCTGCTGGTGATACTGAGGAAAACAGGGTCCAAAGTGGACCTCCAGCAAACTCCAACAGACCTGTAGCTGAGGGTCCTGGCTGTTAGAAGGAAAACTGACAAACAGAAAGGAATACCATCAACATCAACAAAAAGGACATCCACACCAAAACCCCATCCGTAGGTCACCAACATCAAAGACCAAAGGTAGATAAAACCACAAAGATGGGGAGAAACCAGTGCAGAAAGGCTGAAAATTCCAAAAATCAGAATGCCTCTTCTCCTCCAAAGGAACACAACTTCTCGTAAACAAGGGAACAAAGCTGGATGGAGTTTGAATATGTTTGACAAATTGACAGAAGTAGGCTTCAGAAGGTGGGTAATAACATACTCCTCCAAGCTAAACAAGCATGTTCTAAGCCAATGCAAGGAAGCTAAAAAACTTGAAAAAAGGTTAGAGGAATGGCTAACTGGAATAACAAATGTAGAGAAGAGCTTAAATGACCTGATGGAGCTGAAAAACACAGCACAAGATCTTTGTGAAGCATACACAAGTTTCAATACCTGAATCAATCAAGTGGAAAAAAGGATATCAGTGATTGAAGATCAACTTAATGAAATAAAGCAAGAAGACAAGATTAGAGAAAAAAGAGTGAAACGAAATGAACAAAGCCTCCAAGAAATATGGGACTATGTGAAAATACCAATTCTATGCTTGGTTGGTGTACCTGAAAGTGATGGGGAGAATGGAACCAAGTTGGAAAACACTCCTCAGGATATTATCCAGAAGAACTTCCCCAACCTAGCAAGGCAGGCCAACATCCAAATTCAGGAAATACAGAGAACACCACAAAGATATTCCTCAAGAAGAGCAACCCAAAGACACATAATCGTCAGATTCACCAAGGTTGAAATGAAGGAAAAAGTGTTAATGGCAGCCAGAGGTAAAAGTCAGGTTACCCACAAAGAACAGCCCATCAGACTAACAGCAGATCTCTCTGCAGAAACCCTACAAGCCAGAAGAGGGTGGGAGCCAATATTCAACATTCTTAAAGAAAAAAATTTACAACCCAGTGGTGAAATAGGAACGCTTTTACACTGTTGGTGGGAATGTAAATTAGTTCAACAATTGTGGAAGACAGTGTGGCAATTCCTCAAGGATCTAGAACTAGAAATACCATTTGACCCAGCAATCCCATTGCTGGGTATATACCTAAAAGATTATAAATCTTTCTACTATAAAGACACATGCACAAGTATGTTTATTGCAGCACTGTTCACAACAGTAAAGACTTAGAACCAACCCAAATGCCCATCAATGGTAGACTCGATAAAGAAAATGTGGCACATATACTCCATGGAATACTATGCAGCCATAAAAAAGGATGAGTTAATGTCCTTCGCAGGGACATGGATGAAACTGGAAACCATCATTCTCAGCAGAGTAACACAAGAAGAGAAAACCAAACACTGCATTGTTGGGAGCAGGCCCCCAAAAATCTGGCCATAAATTGGCCCCAAAACTGGCCATAAACAAAATCTCTGCAGCACTGTAACATGTTGATAATGGCCCTAATGCCCAAGCTGGAAGGTTGTGGGTTTACAGGAATGAGGGCAAAGAACACCTGGCCCGCCCAGGGTGGAAAACCACTTAAAGACATTCTTAAGCCACAAACAATAGTATGAGCAATCTATGCCTTAAAGACATGCTTCTGCTGCAGTTAACAAGCCCAACCTATTCCTTTAATTCGGCCCACCCCTTCGTTTCCCATAAGGGATACTTTCAGTTAATTTAATATCTATAGAAACAGTGCTAATGACTTGTTAGCTGTTTATAAATATGTGGGTAACTCTCTGTTCAGTCTCCACCCCAAATCAACAGAATATACATTCTTCTCAGCACCACATAGCACTTATTCCAAAATTGACCACATAGTTGGAAGTAAAGCACTCCTCAGCAAACGTAAAACAACAGAAATTATAACAAACTGTCTCTCAGACCACAGTGCAATCAAACTAGAACTCAGGATTAAGAAACTCATTCAAAACCACTCAACTACATGGAAACCCAACAACCTGCTCCTGAATGACTACCAGGTACATAAAGAAATGAAGGCAGAAATAAAGATGTTTTTTGAAACCAATGAGAGCAAAGACACAACATACCAGAATCCCTGGGACACATTCAAAGCAGTGTGTAGAGGGAAATTTATAGCACTAAATGCCCACAAGAGAAAGCAGGAAAGATCTAAAACTGACAACCTAACATCACAATTAAAAGAACTAGAGAAGCAAAAGCAAATACATTCAAAAGCTAGGAGAAGGCAAGAAATAACTAAGATCAGAGCAGAAGTGAAGGAAATAGAGACACAAAAAACCCTTCAAAAAATCAATGAATCCAGGAGCTGGTTTTTTAGAAAAGATCAACAAAATTGATAGACCACTAGCAAGACTAATAAGGAAGAAAAGAGAGAAGAATAAAATACATGCAATAAACAAAGATAAAGGGGATATCACCACCAATCTCACAGAAATACAAACTACCATCAGAGCATACTATAAACACCTCTATGCAAATAAACTAGAAAATCTAGTAGAAATGGATAAATTCCTTGACACATACAACCTCCCAAGACTAAACCAGGAAGAAGTTGAATGTCTGAATAGACCAGTAACAGGCTCTGAAATTGAGGCAATAATTAATAGCTTACCAACCAAAAAAAGTCCAGGAACAGATGGATTCACAGCCAAATTCTACCAGAGGTACAAGGAGGAGTTGGTGCCATTTCTTCTGAAACTATTCCAATCAATAGAAAAAAAGGGAGTCCTCCCTAACTCATTTTATGAGGCCAGCATCATCCTGATACCAAAGCCTGGCAGAGACACAATAAAAAAAGAGAATTTTAGACCAATATCCCTGATGAACATTGATGCAAAAATCCTCAATAAAATACTGGCAAACTGAATCCAGCAGCACAACAAAAAGCTTGTCCACCATGATCAAGTGGGTTTCATCCCTCGGATGCAAGACTGGTTCAACATACATAAATCAATAAATGTCATCCAGCATATAAACAGAACCAATGACAAAAACCACATGATTACCTCAATAGATGCAGAAAAGGCCTTTGACAAAATTCACCAGCCCTTCATGCTAAAATCTCTCAATAAATTAGGTACTGATGGGATGTATCCCAAAATAATAAGAACTATTTATGACAAACCTACAGCCAATATCATACTAAATGGGCAAAAACCGGAAGCATTCCCTTTGAAAACTGGCACAAGACAGGGATGCTCTCTTTCACCACTTCTATTCAACATACTGTTGTAATTACTGGCCAGGACAATCAAGCAGGAGAAGGAAATAAAGGGTATTCAATTAGGAAAAGAGGAAGTCAAATTGTCCCTGTTTGCAGATGACATGATTGTATATCTAGAAAACCCCATAGTCTAAACCCAAAATCTCCTTAAGCTGATAAGCAACTTCAGCAAAGTCTCAGGTTACAAAATCAACGTGCAAAAATCACAAGCATTCTTACACACCAATAACAGACAGAGAGACAAATCATGAGTGAACTCCCATTCACAATTGCTAGAAAGAGAATAAAATACCTAGGAATCCAACTTACAAGGGACATGAAGGACCTCTTCAAGGAGAACTACAAACCACTGCTCAATGAAATAAAAGAGGATACAAACAAATGGAAGAATATTCTATGCTCATGGATAGGAAGAATCAATATTGTGAAAATGGTCATAGTGTCCAAGGTAATTTATAGATTCAATGCCATCCCCATCAACCTACCAATGACTTTCTCATAATTGGAAAAAACTACTTTAAAGCTCATATGGAACCAAAAAAGAGCCTGCATTGCCATGAAAATCCTAAGCCAAAAGAACAAAGCTAGAGGCATCATGTTACCTGACTTCAAACTATGCTACAAGGCTACAGTAACCAAAACAGTATGGTACTGGTACCAAAACAGACATATAGACCAATGGAACAGAACAGAACCCTCAGAAATAATGCCACACATCTACAACTCCCTGATCTTTGACAAACCTGACAAAAACAAGAAATGGGGAAACGATTCCCTATTTAATAAATGGTGTTGGGAAAACTGGCTAGCCATATGCATAAAGCTGAAACTGGATTCCTTCCTCACACCTTATATTAAAATTAATTCAAGATGGATTAAAGACTTAAATGTTAGACTTTAAACCATTAAAACCCTAGAAGAAAACCTAAGCAATACCACTCGGGACATAGGCATGGGCAAGGACTTCATGTCTGAAACACCAAAAGCAATGACAACAAAAGCCAAAATTGACAAATGGGATCTAATTAAACTAAAGAGCTTCTGCACAGCAAAAGAAACTACCATCAGAGTGAACAGACAACCTACAGAATGGGAGAACATTTTTGCAATCTTCTCATCTGACAAAGGGCTAATATCCAGAATCTACAATGAACTCAAACAAATTGACAAGAAAAAAACAAACAACGCCATCAAAAAGTGGGCAAAGTATAGGAACAAACACTTTTCAAAAGAAGACATTTATGCAGCCAAAAGACACATGAAAAAATGCTCATCATCACTGGCCATCAGAGAGATGCAAATCAAAACCACAATGAGATACCATCTCACACCAGTTAGAATGGTGATCATTAAAAATCAGGAAACAACAGGTGCTGGAGAGGATGTGGAGAAATAGGAACATTTTTACACTGTTGGTGGGATTGTAAACCAGTTCAACCATTGTGGAAGTCAGTGTGGTGATTCCTCAGGGATCTAGAACTAGAAATACTATTTGACCCAGCCATCCCATTACTGGGTATATACCCAAAGGATTATAAATCATGCTGCTATAAAGACACATGCACATGTATGTTTATTGTGACATTATTCACAATAGCAAAGACTTGGAACCAACCCAAATGTCCAACAATGATAGACTGGATTAAGAAAATGTGGCACATATACACCATGGCATACTATGCAGCCATAAAAGGAAACAAAAAAGGAAAAAAATTGGTTGAACAAAATTCAAAATAATAAAAATTATATTCAACAAACACACAGCCAACAGTACACTGGATGGGATACTGTTTAAAGCATTCCCCTTTAAGAACTGCAACAAGACAAGGATGCCCACTTTCAACACTCCTACTCAATATAGTTGGTACTAGAAGTCATAGCTAGAAAGAGAAATAAAACTTATCCAAATTGGAAAATAGGAAGTTAAATTATTTCTGTTGACTGATAATATGATCTTATACCAAAAAACAAAAAACAAAACAAAAATAAAAAAACTTCTCCAAAAGACTCCTAGATCTCACAAGTGACTTCATTAATGTTTCAGGATACAAAATTGACATGCAAAAATCAGTAGCATTTTTATATACCAATAACAATCATGCTGAGAACTAAATCAAGAAGTGAATCCTATTTACAATAGCTGCAAAAAGAATAAAATACATACAAATAAACTTAACCACGGAGGTGAAAGATCTCTACAAGGAGAATTACAAAACACTGATGACACAATCATAGATGACACAAACAAACAAACAAAAATCCTATGCTCATGGATTGTAGACTAAATACTGTTAAGGTGGCAAGCAATCTATAGATTCAATGCAGTTTCTATCAAATTACCAATGCCATTTTTCACAGAATTGGGAAAAATCCTAGAATTCATATGGAACTAAAAATGACCCTGAATAGCCAAGGCAATCCTAAGCAAAAAGAACAAAGCTGGAGGCATTACATTACCTGATTTTAAATTATACTCCAAGTCTATAATAACTAAAACAGCATGGCACTGATATAAAATAGACACATAGATCAATGGAACAGAATAGAGAACCCAGAAATAAAGCCACTTACCTATAACCAACTGATTTTCAACAAAGGTGATAAAAATATGCACTGAGGGAAGGACACCCTATTCAATAAATGATGCTGGGAAAAGTGGATAGCCATATACAGAAGAATAAATATGGACCCATATCTCTCACTATGTAAGAAAATTAACACAAGATGGATAAAAAGACTTAAGTGTAAGACCTGAAACTATAAAGATCATAGAAGAAAACCTAAGAAAAGCTCTTCTGGACATTGGCCTAGGCAAAAAAATTATGACCAAGTCCTCAAAATTAAACACAACAAAAATAGATAAATGGGACTTAATAAAATTAAATAGCTTCTGCACAGCAAAATAATTAACAGAATAAACAATTTAAAACTTGGAGAAAATATTTGCAAATTAAGCATCTGACAAAAGGATAGTATCAAGAATCTACAAGGAACTCAAATAAGAAAAATAATAATAATAATCCCATTTAAAAGTGGGAAAAGGACATAAACAGGCATTTTTCCAAAAAAAAAAAAGACATACAAGCAGCCAACACACAAGAAAAAGTGCTTAACACCACTGATCATCAGAGAAATATAAATTAAAGCCACAATGAAATTCCATCTTACAGCAGTCAGAATGGCTATTATTAAAAAGTCAAAAACAACAGGTAATATACACTATTGCTAGGAATAAAATTAATAAAACCTGCATGAAAAACAGAGGGAGATTTATCAAAGAACTAAAAGTAGTACTGCCCTTTGATACAGCAATCCCAATACTGGGTATCCACCCAAAGAAAAAGACATCATTCTATCAAAATGATACCTGCACTACGTTTTTAGCAGCACTATTCACAATAGTAAAGACATGGAATCAACCATCAACAGATGATGGATAAAGAAAATGTGAGATATATAGATAGATATCACAAATGTGAGATATATATACAAACACACACACACACACACACACACACGCACACACACACCATGGAATAGTACTCAGCCATAAAAAAATGCAATCTTGTCTTTTGCAGCAATGTGGATGGAACTGGTGGACATTATTCTAAGTTGCATAACCCAGGAACAGAAAGCCAAATGCTACATGTTCTCATTTTTTAAAGTAATTAATCAGCAAGTTTTTATTTAGTTTTTTTGTTATTATTATACTTCAAGTTCTGGGATGCATGTGCAGAATGTGCAGGTTTGTTACACAGGTATACACATGCCATGGTGGTTTGCTGCACCCATCAACCCATCGTCTACATTAGGTGTTTCTCCTAATGCTGTTCCTCCCTTAATCCCCAACCCCCCAACAGGCCCTGGTGTGTGATGTTCCCCTCCCTGTGTCCATGTGTTCTCATTGTTCAACTCTTACTTATGAGTGTAGATGTTCTCACTTTCAGTGAGAGCTAAACAATGGCATACATGGACATACAGGGTGAAAAAGTAGACATTGGAAACTCCAAAAGTTGGGAGGGTGGGAGAATGGTGAAGGCTGAAAAGTTACCTACTGGGTACAATGTTCACTATGCAGGAAATGAGTACACTTAAAGCCCAGACTTCACCACTACACAATATATCCATGGAACAAACCTGCCCATGTACCCTTAATATCTATTAAAAAAAAACAACAACAGTTCTTTGAGAAATCTCCAAACCACTCTCCAAAGTAGCTGAGCTAATTTACATTCCCACCAACATTATGTAAGTGTTCCCTTTTCTCTGCAGCTTCAACAGCATCTATTGTTTTTATCTTTTATCTAAAAGTTCAAAATATGTTTTAAATGTACAACTAGAAAACATTGGTAAAAGCAATTTAAAAATATCTAAATAAATAGAGAGATATTCCATGTTCATGGATTTGGAGACAGGATATTGCTATTATTTTATTCTCTCCACATTTTAAATAAAGATTTTGAAAAAATGAAAAACAAAGCATAACAAATTATAAAACAAGATCAATTCACTTATCTGGCTATTATTTGGGGTAAAACAAGAATAGCATGTGAAAATAAATGTCACTATCTATCCTAATCTTGATAAAATGGTAAAAGCACAGTTCCCAAATTTCAAAATACATAAATTGGACTTTATCAAAATTAAAAATGATTCTGAATCTAAGTACACTATCAAAAAAGTGAAAATCAACCCAAAGAATAGGAGAAATATTTGCAAATCGTATATCTGATGAGTATTGTTTCCAGAATACAAAAAGAACTGTCACAACTGAAAAAAAAAGGTAAACAACCCAATTTGAAAATACACAAAGAATTTGAAAAAGACATTTTCCCATATAAGATATACATATAGCTAATAAGCATATAAAAATATGCTAAACATCATTGGTCATTAGGGAAATGTAAATCAACATTGAAATGAAATACCACTTCACACCCAGTGGATGGCCATAATTTTTTTAAATGGCAATTAACCAGTGTGGCAAGAATATTGAATAATTGGAAATCTAGTACATTACTAATGGAAATGTGAAATGTAAAATCTATGGATCTGTGAAAAACTGTTTGGTTGTTCTTTAAAAAGTTCAACATAGAATGACCACCTGACCCAGCAATTCCACTCCTATGTTATATACCCAAAAGAATTAAAAACAGGTGTTTGAACAAACTTGTACATAAGAGTTTATAGCAGCACCACTCACAATTGTGAAGACAACCTAAATTTCTATCAGTCTGTATGAGTGGATAACCAAATTTTGGTATGTCCACAATAAAGTACTGATGCATGCTACAACATGGATGAATCTTGAAAGCATACTAAGTGAAAGAAGACACTAAAGGTTGAAAATTGCATAATTCTATGTATATAAAATGTCTAAAATAAGCAAATTAATAGGAACAAAAAGCAGATTACTGGTTACCACGGACTGGGAAAAGGGGAAATAGGAACAACTGTTCAACTATTAGGAGGTGATGAAAATCTTCTGCAATTAGATAGTTGTAATTATTGTAAAACATTGTGATTGTACCCAAAGCCAATTGATTACACATTTTTAAATAGTCAAAGAATGAATTTTTTCGTGTAATTTTTAGGTTAATTAAAGAAATCACAACACAAAAGATATTTTGAAATAAATGAAATTTAAAGCACAACGTATCTGAATTTCAGGAAAGTAACAAAAGTTCTAAAAAGAAAATTTGGGTCACAAAATGCATATATTAAAAATAAATAGGCCAGGCGCAGTGGTTCACACCTGTAATCCCAGCACTTTGGGAGGCTGAGGTGGGTGGATCACAAGGTCAGGAGTTTAAGACCAACATGGTGAAACTCCATCTGTACTAAAAATACAAATATTAGCCAGGCGTGGTGGTGGGCGCCTGTAATCCCAGCTACTCCAGAGGCTGAGGCAAGAGAATCACTTGGCCCTGGGAGGTGGAGGTTGCAGTGAGCCAAGATCACGTCACTGCACTCTAGCCTGGGCGACACAGCAAGACTCCATCTCAAAATAAATAAATAAATAAATAAATAAATAAATAAATAAATAAATAAATAAAATAATGTCTGAAAACAAACATCAAAAGTTTTGTACTACAGACACAAAAAATAACAACAAATTAAGCAGAAACTAAGTAGAAGATAGGAAATAATAAGGATTAGAACAAGAATCAATGAAATGTAAATTTTAAAAATAGAAAAATCAATTTAACAAATATCTGATTATTTTAAAAGAACAATAAAATTGATAAACAATTAGCTAGATTAATGTGAAGGAGCAAAAGATGGAAAGAAGTAAGGGAGGAGAGAGAGAAAAGACAACTCATGTCAATAATGAAAGAGCATATAGCCTTACAGATTCCACTTAATGATGAACACTATCCCTCTAAGATTGGGAACAAGACAAGGATGTCCACTCATCACTTCCATTCAGCTACGAAACCTAGGTCTAGTAATGTACCCTAGGTTTCAGCCACTGCAAAAATATAAGAAAAAGAAATAAAAGACACAGAGATTGCAAAAGAAGAAACAAAATTATAAAAATACATTTATTTGCAGATGACATAATCATGTAGGTAGAAAATTTAAAGTATTCTACAAAAAACTAATAGGACTAATCAGTGAGTTTAGCAAAGTAACAGGATATAATGTCAATATTTTAAAAATCAGTTGTACTTCTACAGTAGCAACAAACAATTAGAAATTGAAATTAGAAGCAAAATACTATATAAAACATTATTTTAAAACATGGAATTTGAGGAGTAAATTATAACAATCAATTCAAGACCTGTATATGAAAAGTAGAAAACCCTGGTCAGAGAAATTAAATACATAAATAAATGGAGAGATATATGATAATAATAAATTAGAAAACTTAATAATTCTTTTACCATATCATTCTATATTTTCAATGCAATTCCAATCAGAATTTTTGGAGATGTTGACAAGCTTATCCTGAAATTTACACTCTACCTAATTTCAAGATTTAGTATAATGTACCAGTATCAATACTGTTTGGTATTGGCATAGGATAAAAATATAGCTCACTAAAATATAATAGAATGTCCAAAAATACATCTAAATATATAAATTTTTAAAGGAATGCCAAGGCAACTCAATATTTTTCAACAAATTATGCTGAGTCAATTGGATACCCATAAGAAAAAAAAAACTTCAGCCATTACCTCATATAATGCACACACACACACAAATAACCTTAAAATGAGTTAGAGATCCACATGCTAAATCTATAAAAATTCTACAAGAAATTGTTTTGATCTTAAGGAAATCTTGCCATTTGTGACAATGTGGAAAAACCTACAGGACACTGTACTAAGTGAAATAAGCCAGACATAGAAAGTCAAACGCTGTATAATCTCACTTATATGCAGAATCTAAAGAGTCATATTCATAGAAACAGAGAGAATGATGGTAGAATGATGGTTGCCAGGGCCTGGCAGATGAGGGATATGGGACTATATTTATCAAAGAGAACAATCTTTCATCTATAAGATGAACAGGTTCTGAGGATCTCATGTATAGCATGATTAGTAATGTATGTGTTAATTTTCTGTAATAACTATTACACAATGTACACATCGATCAAATCAACATTTTGTCCACCTTGGACACATAACATCTTTGTCAATTAAATATTTTTAAATTTAAAAATTAAAATTAATTAAATGGCCACAATTAGTTTCATGCCCTCACTGCTCTAGATCTCAAGCAACCATTAGCAGGTTTCCATAAAAAGGTGTAATGTTGATTTTTTAAAAAAAGAAGCCTCCTGTGACGTGAATCAACAAAGAAACTACATCACAGGTCCACATACAAGTTACACTACCTTGCTACTCACACAGCATTCAGCATTCTTAACAACACAGGTTCAGATAGAGAAAGAGGACTCATAGGATTAGGTTCCAAGTATAAAGAATGAAATTCCTCATTCAGGAATTGTTTTGTTTTGTTTTATTATTCCCAAACTTGTCTCTCCAGAATACTACTTCTGTGGCAAAGTTTTTCCATCAAAGGAGATAATTAATTCCTAGGAGAGAAAGCAGCAGCTATAAAATAAGATCCCTGAATCTTTACGGAAACCTCTTTAAATATTCATGCAGTACAAGACAGAAATGTTTTTCTTGTTCACTCATCCACAGCAAGATTAATCACAGGCAAAGTGATCCATACATAACTGTTTCCTCCACACCTTTTGCCTCTTGCACTGTGGAACCAGAGCTATACATAATCAATTCTTCATGGTGTTTCCAGTGAATCGATTTTAATTCAAGTCCCAGGTTTTCTGTGAAAATTTTTGAGACTTAGGCCAGATAAAAAGATTTATACTCATAAGAAAACTTTCTTTATTGAATTATAACTGATATACCAAAAACTACACATTTAATGTGTACAGTTTTTTAACAACTGTGATTTAACATTGAATTATCTGAATAGACATAGACCTGAGGGGTTATAAAAGGATTCCTAGGCCGGGCGCAGTGGCTCACGCCTGTAATCCCAGCACTTTGGGAGGCCGAGGCGGGTGGATCATGAGGTCAGGAGATCGAGACCATCCTGGCTAACAAGGTGAAACCCCGTCTCTACTAAAAATACAAAAAATTAGCCGGGCGCGGTGGTGGGCGCCTGTAGTCCCAGCTACTCAGGAGGCTGAGGCAGGAGAATGGCGTGAACCCGGGAAGCGGAGCTTGCAGTGAGCCGAGATTGCGCCACTGCAGTCCGCAGTCTGGCCTGGGCGACAGAGCGAGACTCCGTCTCAAAAAAAAAAAAAAAAAAAAAAAAAAAAAAAAAAAAAAAAGGATTCCTAGATGAAAAGATATCAAAAATATGACCAGAAGGATGAAAAGGAGTCAGCAGAATGGGGGCCAGACACAGTGGCTCACGCCTGTAATCCCAGCACTTTGGGAGGCCGAGGCAGGCAGACCACGAGGTCAGGAGTTCGAGACCAGCCTGGCCAACATGGTGAAACCCCATCTCTACTAAAAATACAAAAATTAGCTCAGCGTGGGGGCAGGCACCTGTAATCCCAGCTACTTGGGAGGCTGAGGCAGGAGAATTGTTTGAACCTGAGAGGCAGAGGTTGAAGTGAGCTGAGATCATGCCATTGCACTCCAGCCTGGGTGACAGTGCAAGACTATGTCTCAAAAAAGAAAAGAAAAGAAAAGAAAAAAGAAAAGAAAAGGAGTCAGCAGAATGAATATGCATGAAGGTGAGAGCAGTGCTTGTAGGAGAGAGAATACATAACAAAGGCCAGGAGGTGAAAAGAGTATGCAGGAAACCTAGTCAGTGCAGTATGGCCATGATTATTAATTTGCTCATTCATTCAGCAATTATTTACTGAACCCCCAACTTGCGTGCCAGCCACCATGAGAGACACTGAGCTTATAAAGTCTTGTAAATTGTAAGATATGAAGCTAGAGAGATAGGAAAAGAGAATATCAAGAAGGTGCTTATAGTTGTGTTAAGACTTAACACTAATGACTATGGGAGAAACAGGGAAAGTATATTTAAGCTAGTGAGTAATGCAGTTAGATTTTAATTTTATAATGATAATCCTAACTACAGTATGTACAATGGATTGATGGATCAAGACTGGAAGCAGGAGAGCACCTAGGGGTTATTGTAATTATTTCAGTGTGAAAGGCTGGAGGCCTCAGCCCTGGTGTTGCCAGTAAGGACGCAGAATGTGGTGGACACTATTGTGTCCAGCTCAAATCCCCTTCACCAGGCCAGTGCACAAGTGCCCCAGCTACTGTGGGTGTGGGCTGCCAACAGCTCACAGCCTTGCCCTTTTCTGGACAATTGCACCAGATAAAATGGGAGCTGCATCACTTAGGGTATTTTGTTCCCTCTCCCGGAGCCCACCAGCGATGATTGACTGGAATAGGGTTTAAGAGGTTAGTTCCTTTGTCTCAAGGTGGAAGCAGTTCTGTAGTACAATGTATACCTCAGAGCTCCCGGGGCTCCAGGCTAGAGACAGATTAGTTGAGACCACATCCTTCCTTCCCCTACTATTGTATGTTTCCTTCAGTCTTTTCCCCTTATAAATCACGTTTATTAAAATTCCCATATCATCCTCTGAGCCTAGAGAAATCAAATTAACATGGAGAGATATAGAAGGTTTCGAAGAATATTTTTGAATTCTAAACAAAAGAACTTGATATAGGATGAAGATTAGAGAGAGAGAAGTCACAGATGAAACTTGGGCCCTGGCTTAGATCACTGGATGGAAGGAAGAGAGAGAAGATTAATGAGGTTTTGAATACATTGAATGATGTTCAAGTCTCAATGTAGTAATAAATATTACACACATAGGTAATCCTAGGACCTGTCATCAGAAACAAGACCTGGAGGCAAGGCATAGAGGCAGAAAAGTGGTAGACAGGGGTTGGGGGAATGGGCATAATGGGGAGATGTTGGTCTAAAAGTACAACATTTCAGTTAAACAAACTGAATAAAGTCCTGAAGATGAAATGAACATCCTGGTGATTATACTGAATAATAATAATGTAATGTATACTTGAAATTTACTAAGAGAATAGATCTTAAATCTTACAAAAAAAAATAGTACCTATGTGAGGTGAGAGCTATGTCAACTAGCTTGATTATGGTAATCATTTTACTGTGTATACATATATCAAAACATCACATTGCATATCTTAAATATATGCAATTTTTGTTAGTCAGTATTACTTCAATAAAGCAAAGAAATATTAGAAATTAAATGGTATGATATAATGATTTTATAATACATAGTTGATTTTTTATTGTACAGATACTAATATTTGTCTTATTATTCTAAGTGAAGTAACTCAGGAATGGAAAACCAAACATTGTATATTCTCACTGATATGTGGGAGCTAAGCTATGAGGATGCAAAGGCATAAGAATGATACAATAGATTTTGGGGACTTGGGGAGAAGAGTGGGAGGGGGTCGAGGGATAAATGACAACAAATATGAGGCAGTATATACTGCTCGGGTGATTGGTGCACTAGGATCTCACAAAACTCCACTAAAGAACTTATCATGTAACCAAATACCACCTGCACCCCAATAACTTATGGGAAAAAAAATTAAAAAACACATACAATGGATTATACCAAGAAAAAAATTACTAATATTTGTGATTAATATCTTCCTAAATCCAAACTGTTCAAGAAAAGCATAATATGTTAAGTGAAGTTTGGCTTATCTATGACAGTTGATGGAATTATTAATGCTAAGTCAAAGTATAAAATCATTCAGGAATGAGCTGGATGTGGAAGGTAGAGCTGGAGGTTGAGGCATAGTGGTCTCAGGAACACAGATTCAGGGATACAAATGGGAATGGAGAATGAGATATCTCTGATAACAGCTTTTAATCTTTTTTATTACATGAGTAGTAGTAGGAAATAGAATTGCGTGGAAAAAAGTTAAACTAACATAAACAGTGAAGTGCACTATGCATATAAGTCATCTTTATTAAGGCTGTTTACCTAATGATCCTCTCTAAGACTACCTGTACATGCTCAGTGGGGAACACTTATGAAAGTTTTAACAAGTATTACCAGTTTCACTGACAATTTTCTATCCAAACTGTCTAGTCATCTTTATTAATTTCTTTACTCTAGAATGAGTCAAAAGACACTCTAGAATTGTGTCCCAGGAATCTCTGCTGCATCCATCTTCTACTCACCACTCTAAAATTTCTTGAGTATCTTCATGCCAGGTACCTGTCTTGGTGACTTATGTGTGATTTTGCCTTCCTGCCAGATTGAAGTTTCAGTCGCCCTTGGATATCAATTCTGGTTGTGTCCCTGGATGCTATATATTTCCAGTTTTCTCATAACTTTATCTTTCTACACATTCCTGTTCCCATTCTGGTACCAGTCTAATGCCTAGTGACCCATCATATACCTTTTGACAAAGGAGCAAAAACTAGATCCTTCATGCTTTGAAGAGTATAACAATTGCCAAATCATGAAAATTCAGTTAAAAGTTTAAATAAGCCAGGCACATGCCTCACTTTGTAATCCCAGCACTTTGGGAAGCCGAGGTGGGCAGATCACCTGAGGTTGGGAGTTCGAGACCACCATGGCCAACGTGGTGAAACCTTGTCTCTACTAAAAATATAAAAATTATCCAGGCATGGTAGCACCCACCTGTAGTTTCAGCTACTCAGGAGGCTGAGGCAGGAGAATCGCTTTAACCCAGGAGGTGGAGGTTGTGTTGAATCCAAATCACACCACTGCACTCCATCCTTGGCAGCAGAGTGAGACTCTGTCTCAAAAAAAAAGTTTAAATAACAATAATGTTTAAGTTTTTTCTACAAGACCACTTCCGAGTAATTGTTCACCCTCTGTCTGTATATCTTCAGTGAAAGGATTAATCAGATACCAGTGCATAACTAATAGTAAAATTAAATGAAATTATAACATTAGGTAATACAGAATTTTTAATATATGTTTTATTTTCATTTTTAGGCTTTACAATAAAAAAAATAGTTGCAGCTACCTACTACCAGCAAATTATGTAGAATAAGGAACCATATCTCAATTTATGTCTCATTCTGCCACTAACTTGAGGTTTGGTCAAATCATGCCATATATATGCACTTCAATATCCTGTAAAATGTATTATAAGAATTAAGAATAAAATTTGGGTGCTAGTTATCAATGTATTGCCTCTCAGCTCCAAATACAACCTTCATTTCCTGTGCATATTAATGAAAATAAGCCCTGTAGGAATTTATCCTCTGCACCTAGTCTGCTTTGATGTTAAGATTTGTCAATATAGAGAATCAAAAGGGGCATCTCTTCCTGATTTAAATACGTTTCTGTTTTCATCTTGCTCTCTGTAGCTTCCAGCAGCATGTGTGTTTGGCTGGGCCGGGCAGGGGGAGGGAGAGACATTCAGAGGTGCTCACTTCCATTGAGTTTCACTGACAACTTCATGGACAATTTCCCATCGAGTTTCAGTGGTGCAGGGAGATTCCAATAAGTCACACAGATACTCCAACAATCAGGTTTCCAAAACTGCCTATCGATAATGGGGTAGCCTTGGTCCACCTGCACCCTAGAGGGTTATTTCCTGCTTGCCAGTCCAGGCTACAGTTCCTCATTTACCAGCCTAAGCCCACCAGTATTCCAGCAAAAGCCTCCTGGCTGGCCAGTCCCAGACAGGTTTCTTGTGTGGCAGCTTCTATCCAGCTACCATGAACTAGTTCTGGCCCAAGACTACCCAGTGAACTTCTCCACCATCCAATGGGCAGCAACTACACTTTCTCCAAGATATTGGAATCTCAGCCTTGGGAAGGGAGCCCAGCTCCCAAATGTGTTCCCTTCTTAGATACTCGTTTCTCAGTCACAGGGCATTCTTTACTTCTTTATAGTTAATCCCTCGATATAATTAATAATTTTATGTAAATTTGCAATGCTCAAATCGGGGAAGCTGTGTGATCTGTCTCCTGATTGAACCCTAGCTGATACAATATGGAAAAAACTTAATATAATGCAGTCTTGCGGCATTAGATGAACAGAACATCTTTTTACAATATGACCAACATATTGTGACCAATAAAATTTACAAAAGAAAGTATGTATATATTAAGCCAGGGTCCAAATTAAAGAAATATCATTAAACATGTAAATTTCAATAATCAGCAGTAACCAACAGCTTAATGTTATATAATAAGATTATTTTAATATCAATCTAATATTCTACATTTATACTTTTTAGCATCTAGAGATGTTTCAAGTTTCCAGGCAATTGATGAATATGTATTAATTAAAAAGCAATAGTGGTGATGACAAGAGTGTGGGATAAGAGACAGTAAGCTTTACAGTCCAAGCTTTAGCTTTATGCTTTACTGACTATCTGCAAGCATTAGCCAGCCCCTTGTTAGAGTTGACATATTCATCTACAAATCAAGAAGCTTAAATACCTATTACCTCTATGTTGAGTGCTCAATGGTCTTATTTAATCATTATCTGAAGTCACTTTTTTTCTCCAAAGCTTCCTTATTGCACTTTTTACCTCAGCATTTCTGAGTGTGTAGACCACGGGATTTAACATTGGGACCACCATAGTATAAAATACAGCAACAGCTTTATCAATGGGCAGAGTGGTCACTGAGCGCAGATACACAAATATACAGGGCACAAAGAATAAGACAACTACTATGATGTGAGAAATACAGGTGGAGAGGGCTTTACACCTCCCCTCCAAGCTATTGTTCTTTAAAGATCTCAAGATGATCACATAGGATACCACCAAGATAAGGAAGTTTAATAAGCAGATAAACCCACTGTTCACAGCAACAAAGAGACCAAGGGTATGAGTGTCTATGCAAACAAGTTTTAACAATGGGTACAAGTCACACATGAAGTGGCCTATGACATTGGGGCCACAGAAGGGCAGCCATACTGTAAAGAGAATCTGAATAGTTGCATGAAGAAATCCTCCCACCCAGGCCACTGCCACCAGGAGAATGCACAGGCTGTGGCTCATAATGGTTGTGTAGTTCAGAGGTTTGCAGATGGCCACATAGCAGTCACAGGCCATCACTGTCAGCAGGATGATCTCAGTAGCACCAAAAATGTGTTCTGCATAGGCTTGAGCCATACACCCATTAAAGGAGATGATTTTCTTCTCTTGAAAGGAATCCACAATCAACTTAGGAGCTGAAGAAGAAGAATAAACTGTGTCTATCAAAGAAAGGTGGGTCAGGAAGAAGTACATGGGGGAGCTCAGAGCCTGGCTGGTGGTAATGGTAACCACAATGAGCAGGTTGCCTGAAAGTGTTATCATGTAAAGAACCAAAAATACTACAAACGTGACTTTCTCCATTATGGGGTTCTGTGTAAGACCTATTAAAATGAATTCAGTCACATTCTTTTTCTTCTCCATCTATGTAGTGTGGGTGATAAAACCTCCAGGAAGGAATATTTTACCTTTAGAAAAAAGAAAGGAAAAAAAAGAAGCATAAAAGAATCAAATAGTCCAAAACTTTGCCTTTTCACTGCTCTGCCATCTCACAGATGATTCCTTCTCTTCCCAAAACTCTCTAGGAATAGGTACCCGTAAACTTCTCTAGCTGACTTCTTAGTTTTTTATTAGCCTGACCTCAAAAATATTCTTAGAAGACATGGGACACCCAGAAGAGAGAGATTCCATTTCCTAGAGTGTAGTTGTTTCAAAACTTCACTTAGACATCAATATGATGAATTAATGCATTCATTAGAGGTAATAGTTTTGGAGACTAATAAGACTTTAAAATGTGTATATGAAATAACATGAACTAAAAACCATAAAATAGTCTGTATATCTTAATTATAATTATGCAAGTATTCCATAGGTTAAAAGTTAGTGATAATAGTTATGGATTTAGTATTGAAGATTATAGGTTTTATAGGTATATTTTAGTAATAAAATTTGACTTCAAAAATTTTAGTTATAAAATTTTATATAGGTTTTGTTTTACCTATGGTAAAACATATGTGTAGAGAAAAGTTGATAAGGAAATAATATATTTAGGACATTTACTTCTGGATGTGAAACTATGGGTGATTTTTATTTATGTTTTCTACAGCTTGCATAACTACCTGTATAGTTAGGAAAGAAATATAGTTTCTATATTTTTTCTTGGAGACCTGAAGCTGAAATCATAAATGTTTACATTGAGCAGAATATGTAGGAAAACAAATATAGGGAATTGTACATTGGTACATGATAGGAATCCAGGAAATAGCTGGGTATAGTTGAAGTAACTGCTATAATGTGCTCATTAAATTTTTGTCACCAAGTCACCATATGGACATAGGGAGAGTGCCTGACTGGACCCTAACTTTTCTGAAAAGATCAGGACAGAGGATGAGGCTGCCATGACTGCCCATGGATCTTTTAGAATCTTCCTAATATCTATGACTGCTCATGGATCTTTTAGAATCTTCCTAATATCATCTTTAGTCTACCAGTCAAAGATTGTTGATCTCTGGTTTTATAGCATTGATATGACAGTCAGTAAGTCAAGTCTGAATAATCAATGAGAATCTCCTTAATACATAGTCTATTTTCATTTACTTGAAGAAGAATGCACATTTCATTCAATTAACTTTAAGATAGTACTTAAAGCTAAGTTTTGCTATTATTCTCACTTTTTCCTAGACTTCAGGTTTTTTTTTTTTTTTAAATCTTTATGTGTTCTTAAAGCACAAAGGCAGTGGTGGGTAAGATGAATTGCCTCTGTTACATGGAGGTATGATACCTGACGAGGTACATGAAAAGGTAACATCTTCCTTGTGATCCCACACATGCTTCATTGAGAAGCGGGCCTAAGAGCTCCAAGCTCCAGGATCATGGTCTCCCTTCTGGATAGCCCGGTGCTCCAGAGAATCCTTTCAGGGACAAGAACTCTTGAGAATAAGGTTGGATGCCCTTCTGATTACCAACTTTTCCCTAGAGGAGATGGCCTTTGAGAGAACCAACAATCAACTAATGTTTTTACAAGTTCCTGAAGGTCTATGCCAAAAGTTAGACTTCCTGATCAAAACCAGACAGAAAACCCCAAACTTGACTCATTCATTTTCATTATCTCACTTATTCAATTTCTTGCAAGTCTTGAAGTAATTAGAATATATTTAAAGAGCAGTTCTTTTTTACAGTTTTCATCTCCTTCCTATTTCCCTGCAGATACAAACATACAAACAGAACAACTCAGTCTCATGTTCAAAATTGGTGTCTTTGATGTTCACTGTTAATTGGGAGACTTGAGCACAGGATTAGTTCCTTTTTCTGCCCTAGTCCAAAGACATAGTGTGCCTATTACCACTTACATCTTCTAATACCCATATTTTTACAGAAATTAGAAATGGAGAAAAGTGTCAACCTAGCAGAAA
Organism: Homo sapiens; assembly: GCF_000001405.40. Classification (NCBI taxonomy): domain Eukaryota; kingdom Metazoa; phylum Chordata; class Mammalia; order Primates; family Hominidae; genus Homo; species Homo sapiens. The sequence continues at coordinate 49,984,490 of NC_000011.10, forward strand.
GACCTTGATATTCCATAAAAGGGCCCTCAGACCGCAATTGAGAGGTAAGGACATAAACAAACTTCTTCCCAGAGAAACCATTGTTACCTTTTTAAATTTCATATACTCATTTTGAAATGCAAACCTTTACTACCACTCTGCTTTTCCCCATTCTTACTTTCTAGCATGCAGAGATTTATTTTTATACGCTGTACTTCCTATAATAATTGTTCATTTTTATTGCATGCTTGTCGTGTACTTGGTACTATACTAAATGCTTTACATGCATTTTTTCACTTAATCCTCACAATGCTTTGAAGTTGGTACACAATTATCTATATTTGAAAGAAAAGTAAACTGTGTTGAAAAGAAAAACAACTTACCCAAAATTATAGTGTCAATTAAAAAAAACAGAGAAGACTGTATTCAAGCACAAGATGTCTGCCTCTAGCTCTTCAGCACTTAACCAGTGCTTCTGGGACTCAGCAGTGCCAGAGTTTGGACAAGTGGACTAGTACCTAAAGCTAACACCTGTGACCATAAGAAATTAATGGCATTCCTTTTGCTAAGCTAAGAAATGCAGAGTCAGATGTAATGATTTCAAGGGTCCAACTGGACAAGACTCTAGAATTGTTAGACATTAAAAATCCTCAGGTACTTTGCATTGCATCAACTTATCCGTACTTTAAAGGTGAATAAACTGAAGTCTCAAGAGGTAACATCTAAGAAAACACAGCTAATTTATTTGTGGCAGAGAATAACAAGAAAATCCAGGTCTAATGCCCAACAATGTGAATTTTTTTTCCATCATATCTGGCCTTCCTTAAGATACATTAATATGAGTGTATACAAGGAAAATTCACCTTACAGTGACAAAATTAAGTTTCATGTCTTATCTTTGCCAATACCTGTCTTGATTGCCTAAGAAAGAGGCTAAGTCTGAGTTTAGGGATGAAGAAATTCAGCCATATTGCTGAGACCACATCCATTGTAGCAGAAACAAGTTATCATCTGGTTAAAACAATATCTGGGAACACATGAATAGAGTCAAAATAAAAAATACACCTAAGCCTGGAGTTCAATATAGATTCCCAGCTACAGCAGAGAGTACACTGTTTACTTGCAGATCCTGTATTTTAATACACTTGCCTTTTGATCGCAGTCTTAGAGCTAAAGTTTTCCTTTGAATAACATAATCCAAATTCTCTCCTTCTCTTCCCTCCCACACTGATCCGGCCTGAGCTCGGTGAAGGTCACACACCCTGTCAGCTCTACTTTAATTTTGCCTTTCTTTATTTTCAATTGTTTCTCATATCTCCTGCTACTAGTACAAGGTGAGATTTTCCCTCTTTTTCTCCCTGGAGACTTTCAAAGAGTATTATTTCAAGGAAATGAGTGATTCTACATAAAGCAATCTCTGACTATCATTACATCATATGCCCTACCCCTGGAGAAAATCTTCAATGACCCATCCACCTACTGCACTCTCTCCACACTTAAAAGCCTAGAAATTGATTCAGGAATCCATAAAATATTAACCTTTTCCTGGTAAATTGTAGTTATATCAATATACAGTGAGGAGAATAAATATTTCTAAAAATTGTCCTCAAACATTTAGAAGTGATTCACCATCAATTATCAGATGTAATACTTTAATGATTTCAATTATAAACCCGTTGGGAGAAAGAGGAAATGTAAGAAACTGGATTAAGAATAAGCAGTTTTAGGTAACTTACTGTAATTGCCTCTATAGTTTAGGAGAATGGCCAATGTATTCAGAAATACAAAGTAACCTTTATAGGTACCTGTTCAAACAGCGTGTTATGTAATGTATATATCCAAGTCTCCACTGACTGGACAATTTTACAAAATTCACAGAATGTCAAGATGACACAAATTTCTTCAAATGGATTCAGCAAGCATTTTCAAAACTCCAATGCCTTTGAAGTTCAAGTTAAAGGGAAAGAAAATGTCAGTTGAATTTGAAACTCCAAGTTCTTAGTTACTAAAGAGAATCTTCTGATCTTCTCCAGCATCTAGATCTATATTATGGAATAAAGGACACAAATGTTCTAACAATACCCCCTTTCTTATTCTGCCTTTAAAATAAGAAAACAGCTTCTCTTGAATCATAGTGTTTAGAGAGGATACCGAGAACATTAAAGGATCTATCATTATACCTAAGGCTTTGTCCTCCCAGGGATTAATTATCTCTGTTTTTAAAAGATTTTTCCTTAGAAACAGAAATTTGGGAGTATTTGCCTATTAACAACCCATCTTCACCTGATTAGTTATTTTCCCTGCATTTTAACCTATTAACATCCTACATCCCTGGCCTGGAATATTATGCAACAAAGCACTCCTTTTATAAGCCCTTAGGTGTCATGAAGGATTCTAAACACTTGTGGATAACAAAATGGGGTTTCATTCAGGTTGAATATTTCTGAGGAAGTTTCCTCACTGTCTGAGGTAACAGAGGAGGCTGAGTTTCTGAATCAATCTCTCAACTGTACTATAAACACATCAGGACACATTCCATCCATAGAAATGAACCTTGGAACTTGATGCACTTTCAGGCAGAGTGATATCTGGAGTTGGGAGGCAAATTGAAGCTGAAATCCTAGTGTCAACTTTTCCAGTGTAAAAATCCAAAAAAATAGATTTGTATGTCTTCCCATTCACATTTTTTGGAAGTCTAGAAATTCCACCAGCCATTCAATGGAAAAAGCCTCACCTAGGCGAAGAGACTTCAAATTTACTTCACACATAATTTCCAGGACAGTGGAAATTTGCAAACCAAATATATTCTGCCATCTTGCAAACATATATTACAGCAATTACTCTGCAGCCTGAAGAATAGGATGCCGTTTAAATCATATATCATAAGAGTTGTAACTGCTGCTATATTTTAATATATGGGTAAGCAGTGAATGGAGAACCAAGAAAAATAGCAATAATAGCAGCTATCATTACTGAACACTACGTCCTTTATTCTATTGACATAGTGTATTACATTGGTTGGTTTTCATATATTGAAACAACCTTGCACTCCTAAATAAATCCCACTTAGTCATGGTGTACATTTCCTTTTATATGCTACTGGATGCCATTTGCTAAACTTTTGTTGAGAATTCTTGTATTAATATCTATTTTCATAAGAGATGGTTGTAGTTTTCTTTTCTTATGATATCTTTGATTTTGGTATCAGGGTAATACTTGTATCATAGAATGAGTTGGGAATTGTTCTCTCCTATTTTTTAGAAAAACTTGTGGAGGACTGGTGTTAATTCTTCCTTAATTGCTTAATAAAATTCACCAGTAAAGCCATCTTGGCCTGGGTTTTCTTTGTGAGAAATATTTTTATTACTAATTCAATATCTTTACTTATTATACTATGTTCAGATCATCTATTAAGTCAATTTCAGTGGCTTATGTCTTTCTAAGAATGTATCCATTTTATCTAAGTCATATAATTTTTTGCATATAATGGCTTATAGTATCCCTTATAATCCTTTTCATTTTTGTAAGGTCAGTAGTAATGTCTGTCTTTCATTGCTGATTTTAGTAATTTGAGTCTTCCATCTCTTTTCTTTCTTGGTCAATCTAGCTACAGATTTGTCACTTTGGTGATCTTTTTAAAGAATCCACTTCGGTTTTGTTGTTTTTTTAGTCTCTATCTATTCTCTAATTCATTTGTTTTTGCTCTAGTCCTTGCTATTTCCTTTCTTCTGCTTCCTTTAGGTTTAGTTTGCTCTTATTTTCCAATGTCTTCATGGGAGCAGGTAAAGTGATTAATTTCAGATCTTTCTTCTTTTTTAAATATACACATTAACAGCTACAAATTTCCCACTAAGCACTGGTTTAGATGTATTCCATAGGTTATGCTATGATGTTTTCATCTTCCCTTATCTCAAAGTATTTTCTAATTTCCCTCATGATTTCCTCTTTGATGCATTGGTTATTTAAAAATGTGTTGTTTAATTTTTACATATTTGTGAATTGCCCAAATTTCTTCTATGATGATTTTTAATTTCATTACATTCTGGAGAACATACTTTGTCTAATTCTTTTAAGTGTATTGAGTCTTGTTTTAGGTTACATATGGTCTAACCTCGAGAATGTTGCATGTGCACTTGAAAAGAGTGTATATTCTGCTGTTGTTGAAGAGAGTATAGTATAAATGTAGTTAGGTGTACACTTAACAGAATACTGTTATATATAGTTGCTTTATAGCATTGTGTAAGTCTTGTTTTCTTGATGAACTTCTGCCTAGTTGTCAACCCATTACTGAGAGTGAGATATCAAAGTCACCACCTATTGTTGTTGAATTGTCTATTTCTCTTTTCTAAAGTGTTAGTTTTTACTTCATATATTTTGGGGCTCTGTTATTAGATGCACATAGGCCTATAATTATTACAGACATTATAACATGGCATTAGCACCCTTATAAAAGGTAAAATCCCCAGAGAGATCTCTTGCCCCTTTCACCATCTGAGATTATGGCAAAATGGCCGTCTAGAACCAGGAAATGGACTCTTATGCCAGATACCAAATCTGCCAATGCCTTGATCCTGGACTTCCCAAGCCTTCAGAACTATAAGAAAAAAATTTCTGTTGTTTATAAGCAGCTCTTGGTGAATTGACTGGTATACCCTTATAAAATATCCTTCTTCATCTCTAATAGCAATTTATGTCTTAAATTTCATTTTGTCTGATATTACTATTAGCTAAAGTATAGCCACTTCAGCTATCCTTTGCTTACTGTTTGTGTGGTTTATATTTTTTCAAGCTTTTGCTTTCAACTTATTTGGGTCTTTGAATCTAAAGGATGGCTCTTGTAGACAACCTATATTTGGATCATGTTTTTATATCTAGTTCAGATTAACACCAACGTAAATACAACAGTACATAGGAATAGCACTTCTATATAGCTCCATTCCCTCCCTTCTACTTTGTGTTGTTATTGCCATACAAATGACATCTTTACACATTGCATATCCATCAACACATATTTACAATTATTGCTTTATGCAGTTGTCTTTTAAATCAGATAAGAGGAAAACAAGTAACAAGCTAAAATATGTAAATAAGTCTTCTATATTTATCTATGTAGTTACGTTTGCCAGAGCTTTTGCTTTCTTCATGTAAATTCAAATTATTGTCTGGTGGAATTTTATTTCAGCCTGAAGGACTCCTTTAGTATTTCTTAAAGAGAAGACCTGCTAACAATAAAACCTCTCTGTTTTTGTTTGCCTAGGAATATCTTAATTTCTCCTTCATTTTCAAAGGGTAATTTCATTGGACAGGGAATTCTTGATTGATAGTCTTTTCTTTTCTGTACTTTGAATATGTTATCCAACTGCCTCCTGACCTTTATCACTTCTGATGAGAAATCAGCTGTTTGGCTAATGAGAATCTCTTAGATATGATGAGTCACTTCTTTTTTGCTGCTTTCAAGATTCTCCCACTCTGTTTGGTTTTTGTTAGTTTGATTATGATCCCATAATCTCTTTGAATTTATCCTATTTAGAATTTGAGGAGGTTTTTGGATGCATAGATTAACTTTTGGAAAAATTTTAAGCCATCATTTTTTTCCCAATATTCTTTCTGCCCCTTTCTTTTCTCTGAAAATCCCATTATACATATGGTGGTATTTTTAATGGTACTTGATAGGTCTCTGGGGTCCTGTTCATTTTTTCTTCCTTTCTCTTTCTGCTCCTCAGACTGTATGATTTCCATTGGCCTACCCAGGTTCACTTATTCTTTATTCTGCCTACTCATATCTGCTGTTGAGCTCCTCTAGTGAATTTGTCATTTCAATTATTGTACTTTTTACCTCTAGAATTTTCATTTGGCCCTTTTTTATAATTTCTATCTGTTTATTGAAATGATCTATTTGCTGAGACATCATTCTGATAATTCTTAGACATAGTTTTCTTTATTTCCTTAAATATATTTGAAATAACTAATTGAAAGTCTTTGTTTAGTATGTCTGAAGTCTGGGCTTCCCCAGAAACAGTTTCTGCCAACTGTGTTAGTCCCCTATGTATGGGCCATACTTTCTTGTTTTTTCCATGTATTATATTTTTCTTGTTGTTGAAAACTGGAATATACATATATATACATGCCTATATATAAGCATACATGTGTGTGTGTGCGTGCGCACATGCTCACACACTATGGTCAAAAAGTTTGTGTCCTTCCCAAAATTCATACGTTAAAACTTAATCTCCAATGTGAAGGCATTTGGAGGTTGGGGCTTTGAGTGATGATTAGATCATGAAATTGGAGCTCTCACCTATAAGATAGGCACCTTATCTAAGAGATCCCCCAAGAGAGATCTCTTGCTCCTTCCCCCATGATATATTATAACAAGAAGATGACCATCTAGAACCAGAAAGTGGACTCTCACCAGACCAAATCTGCTGGTGCCTTGATCTTACACTTTCCAAATTTCAGAACTTCAAGAAACAAATTCCTATTGTTTATAAGTGACTCAGTCTATGGTATTTTGTTAAATCAGCCCAAATAGACTAATACAATGTGGCAATCCTGGAAATCAAATTTTTTCCATCTCCAATGTTTATAATTGTTACTGTTTGTTGTTTGGTTGTTCTTGGGATTAGCATTTTTTAAACTAATTTTATGAGACATATTATTTTCTTATATGCAGTCACTGAAGTCCCTGCTCAATAAGATTATGGATAAGTTAATAATTATACAGAGATATCTATAGAACCAATAAGTCTTACAGTCTTTGCTAAGGGGTTCTATGTGTGTCTTGGGGCATGCCTTCACTACTCAGCCAGATAGCTTAAAACTTTACCTTAGCCTTCATATCCTGCTTTCACAGGGTCACAAGGTAAGCCAGAGGTGACAGCTTATGCTTTCCTGGGTCTTTCTTGAACATGTACAGAGTCCTGGGCATATGCACAGTCCTGATATTCATTCCTCAGCTTTGTATTTAAGCCTTTTGGTTAGCCTGTTGTTTTCCCTAATTTAATCCACTGCCTAAAGCTGCTGCAATGTTTAAGAATTGCCTCTGATTGTTTTTGATAAATTTCTCCAGGAAAAATGTTCCAAGTCAAGTCAAATAAAGATAGATTTGTGAGTTAGGTCTTCCAGGGAATGAACACATAGGTCAAATAGTAACAATCATCTGGGAAAGGAGCTTTGAAAAAGCTCCAATCTCATTCTGCCCTTCCCAGTGGTTGCCAAGCTGCTGGGTATCAATGTAATTGCAGGCCATTGTTTTTCAAGACTACAGAGAAGCTGTGCAGAGAAAATGAAAACAGGGTAAATTAAAATGCCAATAACCCTCCTTGTTATTGAGAGTTAGCCATTTTTATTACATAAGTACTCCTTGGACTGATATAAGCATTTGCTTAATTTCCAGAATTCTGAAAATGTTGACTCTGATCATTCTTTCCAGTATTCTCATTGCTAGAATGGAGGAGAGAATTTTAAAGGTTTTTAACTACACTTTTGTAACTGGCATTGACCTACTAAGCACTATGTGCTAGGATTCATGCCCAATTTCAGTGTTTGAAATACATTAACTTTAATTTCAACTATATTTCTGAAAGTATATATTCTTAGCCTCAATTTAAGGTTAAAGAAACACCCACAGGAGCAAGGGAAGGCTCCGCTGATTGTCTTGTGCCATACTCCCTGCAAGGACACATATTTAACAACTATCTACAGAGAAAACACACCTTCATAAGAACCAAAAATCAGGTGCGCACCCATAGAACCTGATAGAGGCCCCTCTACCTTTGGAAATGGGAGGGAAGAGTAGGAAGAACTGCATCTTGTGGCTTAAGTGCTGCCTCAGCCATAGTATAATAGAACAACATGTAGTCTTCTAAGGTTTTTGACCCTAATACCTGACTCCCAGATGGCACCTCTGGACCCATCCAGGGCCTGGGGAACTTGCCACCCTGAAAAGAAGGACACAGGTATGGCAGGCTTTGCTACCTGCTTGTTATAGATCCCCAGGGCCTTGAATGAACACTTACCCAGGAAGTGGTCATGGCAGGCCTTGAGCAAGACCCAGTGCTATATTTGTTTCAGGTCTAACCCAGTGCAATCACAGTGGTAGTGGCCACATTCACCTCCATCATTAGGTAGCCCACAACAGAGGGAGAAAGACTCCATCTAAGAGAAGTAAGGGAAGAGAACAAGAGTCTCTGCCTGATAATCTGGGGAATTCTCACTGATCTTGTCCAAGACCATCAAGGTGGTACCTCTACAGGTCTGCTTTATGCAGTTGTCTTTTAAATCACATAAAAGGAAGACAAGTAACAAGCCAAAATATGCAAATACCATCTTCTATATTTATCTATGTAGTTTCATTTACCAGAGCTTTTGCTTTCTTCATATGAATTCAAATTATTGTCTGGTGGAATTTTATTCAGTTTTACCAGGCTTGTCATGCCTCCTAAAGCAGATTCAGCTTACATTACAACATCCAAGTCCTTTCAAATATCTGGAAATCCTTTCCAAGAAGGATAGGTACAAACAAGCCCAGAACATAAAGACTACAATAAATATCTAACTCTTCAATGCCCAGGCACAGATGAACATCTACTGTTCTACCTGCATCAACACTACCATCTAGGAAAACAAGATCCCACCAAATGAAATAAATAAGGCATCAGGGACCAATCCTGAAGAAATAAAGATATGTGACCCTTTGGGCAAACAATTTAAAATTACTGTTTTGAGAAAACTCAAAGAAATTCAAGGTAACACAGAAAAGAAATTCAAAATGCTATCAAATAAATTTAACAAAGAGATTGAAATAATTTTAAAAGAATGAAGCAAAAATTCTGGAGCTGAAAAATGTATTTGGCATATTGAAGAATGCACCAAAGTCTTCTAATAGCAGAATTGATCAAGCAGAAGAAAGAATTAGTGAGCTGGAGGACAAACTGTTGAAAAAACAATACAGTCAGAGGAAACAAAAGAAAAAAATATAAAACAATGAAGGACACATACAGGATCTAGAAAATAGCCTCAAAAGGGAAATCTAAGAGTTATTGACCTTAAAGGGAAGGTAGAGAGATAGAGATAGGAAGTTTATTCAAAGGGATAATAACAGAGAACTTCCCAAACCTAGAGAAAGATATCAATATTCAACTATAAGAAGGTTATAGAACACCCAGAAATTTAATCCAAAGACCACTTCAAGGCATTTGATAATCAAACTCCCTAAGCTCAAGAATAAAGACCCTAAAAGCAACAAGACAAAAGAATCAAATAACATACAATGGAGCTCCAATATGCCTTGCAGAAGACTTTTCAATGGAAACCTTACAAGCCAGAAGAGAGTGGTATAACATATTTAAAGTGCTGAAGGAAAAAAAACCTTTTACCCTAGAATAGGATATCTAGCAAAAATATCCTTCAAGCATGAAGGAGAAATAAAAACTTTTCCAGACAAACAAAAGTTGAGGGATTTCATCAAGAGCAGACTTGTCCAACAAGAAATTCTAAAGGGAGTAAGTACTTCAATCAGAAAGAAAAGAATGTTAATGAGCAATAAGTAATCACTTAAAGGTACAAACCTCACTGGTCGTAGAAAGTACACAGAAAACACAGAATATTTTAACACTATAGCTGTGGTATGTAAACTACTCTTATCCTAAGTAGAAAAACTAAACAATGAACCAATCAAAAATAATAACCACAACAACTTTTGAGGACATAGACAATAAGATATAAATAGAAACAACAAAAAGTTAAAAAGCAGGGGGACAAAGTTATGATGTGGAGTTCTTATTAGTTGTTTTTTTTTTTTTTTTGCTTGTTTATTTGTACAAACAGTGCTAAGTTGTTATCAGCTTAAAATAATGGGTTATAAGATAGTATGTAAAAGCCTCATGGTAACCTCAGACCAAAAAACATACAATGGGTCCATAAAAAATAAAAAGCAAGAAACTAATCATATCACCAGAGAAAATTATTTTCACTAAAGAAGAATAGGAAGGAAAGAAAGAACTGACACAGGAACTAGAAAGAAATTATTTAGGCATATAGTGAGGGTAAGAGAGTCCTTGGTAAGGTTTCCGTGTTCATAAAAAGCAGCCCCCAAATCATTTCTTTTCTAACAAAGAAGAGCCTGAAAAATCAAGATGCAGACATAGAAAAGCAAGCTGTAAGTTTGCATGGGTGAATGCTGGCAGCTGTGCCAATAGGAAAAGGCTACCTGGGGGCCAGGCATGGTCAACATGGAGGCTCCATCTTCCCTTTTGTCAACCACATGTGCAGTAAAGAAGCAGGCAACATGGCACTGACCAGGTAGAGAACCCTTTTGTATAATAAAAGATTAGGGTGGGCAGCCAGCTTCGTCACATACCAATCTTTTGGGCCCTATGAAAATCAGACACTGCCTCCTCAAGTTCATCTATAAAACCCCATGCATTTCACCACAGAACTGGAGGACCCACTCAGGAGTCCCTCTGTCTCTGCAGAAGAGAGAGCTTTTCTCTCACCTATTAAACCTCTGCTTTTAGACTCACTTATTGTGTGTCCACACCCTCAGTTTCCTTGGAGTGAGACAATGAATGTAGGGTATTTACCTGAGACAAACAATGCTGCTTCATTTTGGGGCTCCACCTGGGATGCAGGTATAATCATCAGAAGGGTGAGTATAGGAGTAGACCATAACTCTATCCTTGCATTTTGAGGCTCTTGGCCTCCATTTTAATATCAAATCAAACCAAATACTGGGCCCTTGTCAGCCATTTAAAAATGGTTAGAGTGGCTGCCAGCCTTACAAGACCAGGGGACAAGCTTGCTGGGGAGATCATGGAGAATCCCCCAGCACCCTCAGGTTGCTGGGCATATTGGCTATGTTTCAAACCAGTTTCCCTTCCTGGAGCACCCAGCCATCGTATGGGGCTTAAAGAGGTCCCGGAGCAACTAAGAATTTCTGGCCAGGACTACACCCTGGTGTTATCTGAGGGCTTCTGGACCAACTCCAGCCTTCAACTGCCCAACCAACCGTCGGCAATAGGATCTCCAGCTTTTCTATCACAATTTCCTCCTTTCCTACCGGCAATTGTCATGTCTCCTATCATCTCTATATATGCAATGCTCCGGAAATTTTTACAGTTCAGCGAAATAGTCCTGTTAGGAAAGGTCAGCAAATGCCATAGTAACTGGGAACATAACTCAAGAGAACGCTGTTTTTGTGATTTTCTAGTAACAGAGGATCTTCCCCCACCCCCCACAGTGAGCTTATTCTCTGCGCTTGGTCTGGAGAGCACATGGTATTTCAAGGTCAACAGCGCCACCTAGTGGAATAGGAATCCTCTCCATGAGGCACATTGTTGGCCCTTTGCCAAAACACTTTAGCTTCCCAATTTTCCTCCCTTTTTGTGCCCTTCTACTAGGGACCAAGCTTTATGCCTTTTCTGTGAAAGAGAAAAACTCTGCCTTCAACAGTGATGAGGAAAATGTCTCTGAAAAAAAAGTTAGTCTCGATAGTGTCCCATCAGCAGGAAAACCACCATTTGGTCCCTACATTCTTTTAAGTCACCTACTCTGTCTCCAATTAAAATGGTACTTACATAGTAAGGAGACAAGAGTAAACGCTTTGGCATGGGCCATAATAACAGGATATACAGTTCAATCTAACGCACCCCCTCCATTAAAGGGGCCTTGCCCAAAGGCAACTATTACATAGTCTTTTTCAAGATCCCTCTTTCTGGGAGCCACATAGGCCATGTCAGTCTAAAAAGTCAACGGGAAATCATAAACAGAAGACTAGAGTCGCATGGGTAAGTGTGAGTAATCCCAATTGCTTCGTTCCTCCACTTCCATGGCTGGGGGTCATGCCTGCAACCATGGACAATATGTTTAATAATGTGCTGGAGTCCCAGGAACCAAGAGGGAAAAGAGTAGGGGGTAAACTCCTGCCGTCTTCCCCTCCACCTTGGGTCACAACAAAAGGAAGGAGATTACAGGGGTGACTTTTTTCTGGCTTCTCTTTCTAGATGGGTAACAAACCATCTTCAACCTGTACTCCTCTGAAGTGCATTCTGAAGCATTGGGATTCCTTTGACCTTGAGACTGGAAAAAAAGCAGCTCATTTTCTTTTGCACAAGGGTATGGGCTTGTTACTAGACCTTTGCAAGCACGGCACAATCAACTCAGCTCTTTTAGCAGTCATATCAGGTGGGCCCAATGGGAATGATTCCTCAAAACTAAAGAAACAGACCCCCCAGGAAACCCTTAAATGCAACTTCCAGATGCCCCAGCCCTGCCTGTTCCCCCTATTTACATCGTCAGCTATTTCAGTTCCACCACACAAACCCCAGACTTTTCTGTGGTATTTTTCCTTCCTCTTTACGTGGTTTAAAATGGCTCCTATCTCTTCTTTTATAATGTTCCTCCAAACTTGGAAAAGTTAATTTCCCCAAACGTTAAAATGCTGGGCTGAGAGTTGAGCTCAAGGGAAGGGAACCCAGAAACATGACAGTCCAGAAAAAGGGTAAAAGTTTTTTTTTTTTTCACCAGTCAGGATTTTGGCTTCTCTCTCCCTGTACAAAATAGTAACAGGAATAATAAGTTTCACTATTTATATTTTCTGTAAAATTTTAATTCATGAAAAATGATTTATGAGGTTGGTCTTAAGCTGTAGCCCATCCAGTGTGCTTTGTGTGTCTTTCTGTACGGCTTTGTCAAGAGAAAGCATATCTCAGGCTAGGATGCAGTCCTGGGACCCCATAAGCCTGCTGTTCAAGCCAGTCCCAACAAAATGGTCAGTAACAAACTTTGCTGCATCTTGTTTTATGTGCTTGGGAACATGACCTGTAACCATGTGGCAATACTACATTTTAGTCTCCACCATTTTACAATAGTGGCTCAGATTCAATTCTGGCTTGGGAAATGAATACTTTAATTTTACCATTTGCTGATTCTCTTCTCCCGTCATGAACAACTTCTATCTGCCTTTCTTAAATCTTCCTCTAAGTTGCCTTTAAGTGTTCTAGATTTTGTAATAGTGTAACTGCCCAATGAGTTCACCTTGCATGCTGCCCAGGCAGAGCTGATTTATCAAAACAGGGGAATTGTAGTAGAGTCAGTTGTGTGGGAGATGGGAGTTTTGTTGTTGCTCAGATGGGTCTTCCTGAGAGTTTGGGGAGCAGAGTTTTTGGGGACAGCTTGGTAGTGGGGGGAGCCAATGAGACAGGAATGCTGACTTGTAGAGCTAGAAATAAAATCATAGGGAGTCAAAGTTGTCTTCTCGTGCTAAATTAGTTCCCGGATGGGGGCCACAAAATTAGATAAACCAGTTTATCAATCTTGGTGATGCCAGCTGATCCAACAATGGCAGGGTTTGCAAAATATCTTAAGCACTCATCTTGGGAGCAGTTTAGAAGGGTCAAAATCTTGTATCCTCCAGCTGCATGACTCCTAAGCCATGGTTTCTAATCTTGTGCCTAGTTTCTTGGTCTGGTCCCTAGGCAAAAAAGGGAGGTTTATTTTGAGAAAGGGCTACTATTGACTTTGTTTTAAACTATAAACTGTAAACCAAGCTCTTCCCAGAGTTGATTCCACATATGCCTAGGGATGGGCAAGGACAGCTTGGGGGCTGGAGGCAACATACAGTTGGTTGGGTTGGATCTATTTCACTGTCTCAGTCACAATTTCGCAAAAAACTGTTTCATAAGCTGCTTACCCCTCCTTTGAAAATATCTTGTATACTCACGGTTAAGTCATAACCTAACTAAGGCTTTTGATTTCACCTGTGAGGTAACTTTTGGTAAAGTTCAAAAGCTGAACATCTTAACTGCTTAGTATGGCTAAAGTTGAGTAACAAGGGATTTAAAGGGATTTTCTTAAAGAGCTCTCAGCTTAAATAAAAGTGGATATCCAAGTTATTGGTGTATTTAAAAGGCCTTTATGTTTTTCTGTTCTTAGATCTTGTTTTTCTGAAAAATGTTTTTTCTGAGTCAACTAAATTCCTTTTCTCCATTTTGTTTTGCCACTCTTAATACTCTTAATGCATGCATTACTTAATGCACACACGAGAGGCCCCAAGATAATTTCTGATAGTGTGAGACTTCTTGGGAAAACAGAAAAGACACCACAAATCTCGTTTTGGGAGAAATCTCTGTTTTTCCTAATGGAATGCCAGGAATTAGTGGCAGATAGATCTCTCTCAAAAATCTGTTTTTGTCTTCCTTAAAAACTTCATGCTCTCCTAGCCCCACTCTTAAAGGGCCTCACCCAGAGACCAATATTCCAATTAGAGATAAATCTTATAACAACTGAGTCTTTTTCTGTTTGTCTCTGTAATTATGTGTGTTACTTGTAATGTCTATAAAAAGAGCTCCAATTGATTGGCTTAAAGAAAAATAAGCACTTAAATTAAATATTTTTTAAAGGAAAGATAAAAGCTGTAATGCCTTTTAGCTCAAGTGACTTTAACTTTTAAGGAATAAAAATAGTCTTAAGGATTATTAGTAAAATACAGGTGTCATCAAAATGCAAATAAGTGGTCTAAATCATGTAAGTCAGATACTAGGTTTACTAAATATTTCCATGTAAACTCCTGCTTTACAACTTTGTAAGGCCTGGGGACATACAAAATTATCCATGTCCTTAACTATGCTGGAAAAATTCAAACTTAATCTGTGCCTACTACATAATCAAAGCAACTTACCAGGTTTCACATTAAAGTTAAAAATTGCTAAAAGTTAGCATTATAACATGCAATTTAAACTACTAAAAATAGACGTACATGCAAGGTGTGTAAAACAGTAAAATATGTTTTTAGTAAAAGACTATAAGAAGGCATGAAAATGTACATTTTTCTAGGGATAAAGGATTGTCTTAAATTAGATATGATAAAGCTGAAGGTTTAAGCAAGTTTTGGAAAGATTATAAAAAATAATCTTGTGAAAAATCCCATGTGTAAACAAACTAATCTCAAAAGGGTATTATATGGTATTTTCATAAATTGAGCATTGAAATAAAAGCACAGCAAGGGTGTCTTAAAACACTGATCTGCCCTTTGGCAAAAGGGTTATAAAAGGTTTGTAAAAATTAATGGTCAAATTGGTTAAGATTAGATGGAATTGTCAATGAGCCTCCCTTCAAAAATTGGGTTCACATTAATAAACTAATACAAGGGTAAAATTTGGCTTTGAACAGGATTTTCATGTAATAGTAAAGGTTAATAAGAGGCTTTTCCCTTTTTTCATCATTATGGCAAAATAAATGACTTGTGGTAACCTGGAATTCTATTTCATAACATGAAGTGTTTTAAACCTCTAACATATATAACAGGCTTCCCAAAATCAAACCTCAGTTTCAACGTTGTCTTTCCTGAACTCTAGCTTCTGGATGCCACAGAGGGCCCCTGAAGCATTCTAAAGAAAGGTAAACGGGTTTATTTGACATGTTCAGGTATGTGAGATTGCCAAAACGATGTTTAACATTATTCAGGTTATATTTTAGTGAATAATATTAATATATGCTCCACAATTGTGTGGGATTTATAAAATTCTATTGTCTGAGTATGTGCTATTAATTATAATGAAGGTTGTTATGTTAAGTTATTGTACACCACTAAGATAACTAAACTTCTCTGTCAGTCATGTTTTTAATTTTAACTACCCTGGAAATTTTGTCATTCACAGACAATTGTTGTCTTGCTTTGTTCTTTTCAAAAGATGATTTAAAATCAAGCTATAGGAATTTAACACATATTCTCAAATGCAGGTTTCTTATAGCTTTGACAATTGTAACATTGGAAGAGAGAAAAAATGTCCAGGACTCATGAAGAGCTGAAACGTTCATGAATATCAAACAGGAGTTAACTCTATGAACTACACTAATAAAAGTCTGAAGTAATCTTTTCTACAAACACCACCATCCTATCATAATTTGGTTTTACTCAAAATGAGGACTGGAGATAGGAAAATTATGCTCCAATACTTATACATTTTTCATTAAATTATAGTCTCATTGGTTGTTTTTAAATTTTTTGATACATTTTAGGCTAACCCTGCTTATTCCTGTGAATCAAGTAGTAAACTCCTGCAGCTCAGAAAAAAACAAAAAGGGATGGGTAATATAAAAATCAGGACAAATATGCTAGTTCTTGGCAATTATCCTGCAAATCCTGTCAGGTAATGAAAGTAAATATGTTACCCATAACCCAGAGCTTTCTTTGGGAAAATAAAACCAAGGTAATTAACAAAAGCCAAGCCCCATACATCCAAGTCTTAACAAGCATAACCATAGTCACCAGTTATCAAGGGGTTACACAGCCTCAGGATTTTTTAAGCTGTCCTTACCCCTACCTTGTTTTATTTTGATACATGTCCTCTAATAACCCAAATTCTTTATTCTTGCCTAGAAGCCATTAAACTCCAAATGCTACTGAAGATGGAACATACATGAACACACCATTCTTCCAAGGATCCTTAGATTGACCCCAGGAGGAGCTGTTCCCCACACAGTGCCCCTCTTTCAGCAGGAAGTAGGCAGAAAGAGTTGTCATCCAACACCCACTAACAGCAGTTAGGGTTGCCACTGCTGATGGGGGGAAATAATACAGGGCTAGAAATAAATTACTTAGGCATATAGTGAGGGTAAGAGTCCTTGGTAAGGTTCCCCTTTTAATAAAAAGCAGCCCCAAAATCATTTCTTTTCTAACAAAGAGCAGCCTGAAAAATCAAGCTGCAGACATGGAAAAGCAAGCTGGCAGCTTGCATGGGTGAATGCTGGCAGCTGTGCCAATAGGAAAAGGCTAACTGGGGGCCAGGCATATTGAGCATGGAGGCTCAATTTTCCCATTTCTTTGTCAACCACGTGTGCAGTAAAGAAGCAGGCAACATGGCACCAACCAAGTAGAGAACCCATTCACATAATAGAAGATTAGGATGGGGCAGCCAGCTTCTTCACATGCTATGTAAATGGCACAGCTGGTCCAATCAATCTTTTGGGCCCTATGTAAATCAGACACCACCTCCTCAAGCTCATCTATAAAACCCGATGCATTTCACTACAAAACCAGAAGACCCACTCAGGAGTCACTCTCTCTCTCTGCAGGAGAGTTTTTCTGTTTTCTCTCACCTATTAAATCTCTACCATTAAACTCACTTCTTGTGTGCCCACATGCTCAATTTCTTTGGCATGAGAAGATGAACATTGAGCATTTACCCCAGACACACAACACCACTTCAGAAAGAAAAGAAGACCACAAAACAGAAAGATTAATTAGAAAATGGTAATAGGGAAGATGGTTGAAAGGAGGCAGGACTAGCTTGCAGTTCCTGCTCAGACAGAGAAGCATGTGAAGATGCACAGCATAACCTTTTGCTCCAGGAACTACCATATGAACATACCAGGAAACCTGAGAGAATCCACGGATGCTTTGAAGGAATTGAACCACTGCTGCAGACTCCCTGAGATGCTGAAAAACTGTGAGTCTACTTGTTTTCTTGATAGGGAGACTGGTGGTATGGGGAAAGTTTATAGCCCTGGTAGCCAGCTGCCTGAAAGTAGACTTGGTGCTGTTGTGGGGGCACAATGAGAGTGAGACTGGCCTTTAGCACTGCAGACTGTATGGAAGCAGGGTGAGGCCTGTAACTGCCAGCTTTGCCCCACTTTCCTGGTGACCTGTATGACTCAGCAGAGGCAGCCATAATCTCTCTGGGAACACAACCCCATTGCTCTCAGAACCAGACTCCCATCCCCACAGCAGCCACAGCAAGCCTCATCCAAGGAGAGTCTGAGCTCAGACATACCTAAACCTGCCTCTAACTGCTAGCCTTGCTCTACCCACCCTGATTGACAAAGACAAAGAACATAATCTCTTGGGAGCTCTATGGCCCTTCCCACCACCTGAGAAACCTGAAAACTTAACCAGGTGGCCCTAGGGCAAGTTTGTATCCTGTCTATAGTACCACACCTAATGTGTTCTTGAAAGCACCACCTCCTGGCTGGAGGCCAACCAACACCAAACCAGTGCACCAAACAAAAATACAACCAAGAAGCTTCACAAAATCCACCTCACTCCCCTGCTACCTCCACTGGAGCAAGGTGCTGGTATCCACAGCTGAAAGACTTGAAGACAGACGACATTAAAGGACTCTTTGTTGATACTCCCCAGTACCACTCTGGAGCACGGCAGCTCCACTGGGTGACTAGACCCAAAAGAGCAAAAACAATAACTGCAGTTTGCCTCTCAGTAAGGCCCATCCATAGGGGAATGGGGAGAATACCACATCAAGGGAGCACCTTGGGGGACAAAAGAATAGGAACAGCAGCACTTGAGCCCGATATCTTCCCTCTGACACAGTCTACCCAAATGAGAAGGAACCAGAAAAACAATTCTAGTGATATGACAAAACAAGGTTCTTTAACACCCCCAAAAGATCACACCAGCTCACCAACAGTGGATCCAAACCCAGATGAAATCTCTGAATTGCCAGAAAAAGAATTCAGAAGTTGATTATTAAGCTAATCAAGGAGGAAACAGAGAAATGTGAAGTCCAATTTAAAGAAATCAAAAACATGATAAAGGATATGAAAGGAAAATTCTTTAGTGAAATAGCATAAATTTAAAAAATCATAACTTCTGGAAATCAAGGACACACTTAGGGAAATGCACACTGGAAAGTCTCAACAATAGAATCAAAGAAGCAGAAGAAAGAACTTCAGAGCTCAAAGACAAGGCTTTCAAATTAACCCAATTTATCAAAGACAATGGAAAAATAATTTAAAAAAAAAATGCACAAAGCCTCCAAGAAGTTTGGGACTATGTTAAGCATCCAAACTTAAGAATAATTGGTGCTCCTAAGGAAGAAGAGAAATCTAAAAGTTTGGAAAACATATTTGGAGGAATCTTTGAGAAAAAGATCCCCCAGCTTTCCTAGGGATCTAGACATCTGAATACAAGAAACTCAAAGAACACGTGGAAAATTCATCGCAAAAGGATCACCGCCTATGTACATAGTTATAAGGTTATCTAAATTCAAGATGAAGGAAAGAATCTTAAGATCTGTGAGTCAAAAGCATCAGGTAACCTATAAAAAAAACTCTAACAGAGTCACAGCAGATTTCTCAGCAGAAACCTTACAAGCTAGAAGGGATTGATGTCCTATCTTTAGCCTCCTTAAACAAAATCAGCCAAGAATTTTGTATCCAGTGAAACTAAGTTTTAGAAATGAAGGAAAGATACAGTCTTTTCCAGACAAACAAATGCTGAGATAATTTACTACTATCAAGCCAGCACTACAAGAACTGCTAAAAGGAGATGAAAATTTGACACAAATCCTTAAAATAAATCAAATAGAACCTGCTTAACACATAAATCTCATAGGACCTATATAACAATAACACAATAAAAAAAAACAAAGATATTCAGGCAAAAAAATAGTATGATGAATAGACTAGTACCTCATCTTCATACTAACATTTCATGTAAAATGGCCTAAATGCCTCACTTAAAAGACACAGAATGGATAAGTCACCAACCATGTTTCTACTGTCTACATGAGACTCACCTAACACATAAGAACTCACAGAAACCTGAGTTAAATGGGGTAAAAAAAGATAGTCCAAGTAAATGGACACCAAAGGTGAGCAGGAGTAGCTATTCTTAGATCAGACAAAACAGACTTTAAAGCAACAACAGTTTAAAAAAGACAAAGAGGAACATTATATAATGATAAAAGGAATAGTCCAACAGGAAAATATCACAATCCTAAATATACATGCACCTAACACTGGAGCTCCCTAATTTATAAAACAATTACTACTAGACCTAAGAAATAAAATAGATGGCAACACAATTACATTGGGATAACTTAATACTCTACTGACAGCACTAGACATGTCATCAAGACAGAAAGTCAACAAAGAAACAATGGACTTAAACTACACCCTATAACAAATGGATTTAACAGATGTTTACAGAACATTCTACCAAACAACTGCAGAATATACATTCTATTCATCAGCATATTTTCCAAGATAGACCATATGATAGGTCACAAAACAAGTCTCAGTAAATTTAAGAAAATTGAAATTATATCAAATACTCTCTCAGACCACAGTGGGAAAAAAATTGGAAATTGACTCCAAAAGGAACCCTCAAAACCAGGCAAATACATGTAAACTAAATAACCTGCTCCGGAATAATCACTGGGTCAACAATGAAATCAAGATGAATATTAAAAAATTCTTTGAACCGAATGATAATAGTGGCACACTGTTATCAAAACCTCTGAAACACAACAAAAGCAGTGCTAACAGGAAAGCTTATAGCATTAAATGCCGACATTAAAAAGTCTGAAAAAGCACAAATAGACAATCTAAGGTCACACCTCAGGGGACTGGAGAAACAAGAACAATCCAAACCCAAACCCAGCAGAAGAAAAGGAATACAAAGATAAAAGCAGAACTAAATGAAATTCAAACAAAAAAAAAGATAAATGAAACAAAAAAAAGATAAATGAAACAAAAAAAACCTGATTATTTGAAAAGATATAGGGGTGGAGCCAAGATGGCTGAAGAGGAACAGCTCCAGTCTACAGCTCCCAGCGTGAGCAATGCAGAAGATGGGTGATTTCTGCATTTCCAACTGAGGTACCGGGTTCATCTCACTGGGCAGTGTCAGAAAGTGGGTGCAGGACAGTGGGTGCAGCACACCGAGCATGAGCCAAAGCAGGGTGAGGCATCATTTCACCCAGGAAGCGCAATGGGTCAAGGAATTCCCTTTCCTAGTCAAAGAAATGGGTGACAGACAGCACCAGAAAAAGTGGGTCACTCCCACCCTAATACTGCGCTTTTCCAATGCTCTTAGCAAATGACACACCAGGATATTATAACCTGTGCCCGGCTCAGAGGGTCCTACGCCTGTGGAGCCTCACTCATCGCTAGCACAGCAGTCTGAGATCAAACTGCAAGGTGGCAGCCAGGCTGGGGGAGGGGCACCTGCCATTGCCAAGGCTTGAGTAGGTAAACAAAGCGGCTGGGAAGCTCCAACTGGGTGGAGCCCACTGCAGCTCAAGGAGGCCTGCCTGCCTCTCTAGACTCCACATCTGGGGGCAGGGCATAGCCAAACAAAAGGCAGCAGAATCCTCTGCAGACTTAAATGTCCCTGTCTGATAGAGTTGAAGAGAGTAGTGGTTCTCCCAGAATGCAGCTGGAGATCTGAGAATGGACAGACTGCCTCCTCAAGTCAGTCCCTGGCCCCCCAGTAGGGGCAGATGGACACCTCACAGGGCTAGGTACTCCTCTGAGACAAAACTTCCAGAGGAACGATCAGACAGCAGCATTCACGGTTCACAAAAATCTGCTGTTCTGCAGAAACCTCTGAGGATACCCAGGCAAACAGGGTCTGGAGTGGATCTCTAGCAAACTCCAACAGACCTGCAGCTGAGGGTCCTGTCTGCTAGAAGGAAAACTAACAAACAGAAAGGACATCCACACCAAAACCCCATCTGTACGTCACCATCATCAAGACCAAAGGTAGATAAAACCAAAAAGATGGGGAAAAAACAGCAGAAAAACTGGAAACTCTAAAAATCAGAGCGCCTCTCCTCCTCCAAAGGAACACAGCTCCTCACCAGCAATGGAACAAAGTGGGATGGAGAATGACTTTAACGAATTGAGAGAAGAAGCCATCAGATGATCAAACTATTCCAAGCTAAAGGAGGAAGTTCGAACCCATAGCAAAGAAGTTAAAAACCTTGAAAAAAAATTAGATGACTGGCTAACAAGAATAAGCAATGCAGAGAAGTCCTTAAAGGACCTGATGGAGCTGAAAACCAAAGCACAAGAACTACATGATGAATGCACAAGCCTCAGTAGATGATTCGATCAACTGGAAGAAAGAGTAACGTGATGGAAGGTCAAATGGATGAAATGAAGTGAGAAGAGAACTTAAGAGAAAAAATAATAAAAAGAAATAAACAAAGCCTCCAAGAAATATGGGAGTATATGAAAAGACCAAATCTCCGTCTGATTGGTGTACCTAAAAGTGATGAGGAGAATGGAACCAAGTTGGAAAACACTCTGCAGGATATTATCCAGGAGAACTTCCCCAATCTAGCAAGGCAGACCAACATTCAGATTCAGGGAATACAGAGAACTCCACAAAGATACTCCTCGAGAAGAGCAACTCCAAGACACATAATTGTCAGATTCACCAAAGTTGAAATGAAGGAAAAAATGTTAAGGGCAGCCAGAGAGAAAGGTCAGGTTACCCACAAAGGGAAGCCCATCAGACTAACAGCGGATCTCTCAGCAGAAACCCTACAAGCCAGAAGAGAGTGGGGGCCAATATTCAACATTCTTAAGGAAAAGAATTTTCAACCCTGAATTTCATATCCAGCGAAACTAAGTTTCATAAGTGAAGGAGAAATAAAATCCTTTACAGACAAGCAAATGCTGAGAGATTTTGTTACCATCAGGCCTGCCCTAAAAAAGCTCCTGAAGGAAGCATTAAACATGGAAAGGAACAACTGGTACCAGCCACTGCAAAAACATGCCAAATTGTAAAGACCATCAAGGCTAGGAAGAAACTGCATCAACTAACGAGCAAAATAACCAGCTAACATCATAATGACAGGATCAAATCCACACATAAAAATATTAACCTTGAATGTAAATGGGCTAAATGCTCCAATTAAAAGACACAGACTGGCAAATTGGATAAAGAGTCAAGACCCATCAGTGTGCTGTATTCAGGAAACCCGTCTCACATTCAGAGAAACACACAGGCTCAAAATAAAGGGATGGAGGAAGATCTACCAAGCAAATGGAAAACAAAAAAAGGCAGGGGTTGCAATCCTAGTCTCTGATAAAACAGACTTTAAACCAACAAAGATCAAGAGAAACAAAGAAGGCCATTACATAATGGTAAAGGGATCAATTCAACAAGAAGAACTAACTATCCTAAATAGATATGCACCCAATACAGGAGCACCCAGATTCATAAAGCAAGTCCTTGGAGACCTACAAAGAGACTCAGACTCCCACACAATAATAATGGGAGACTTTAACACCCCACTGTCAACATTAGACAGATCAATGAGACAGAAAGTTAACAAGGATATCCAGGAATTGAACTCTGCTCTGCATCAAGCGGACCTAATAGACATCTACAGAACTCTCCACCCCAAATCAACAGAATATACATTCTTTTCAGCACCACACCACACCTATACCGAAATTGACCACATGGTTGGAAGTAAAGCACTCCTCAGCAAATGTAAAAGAACAGAAATTATAACAAACTGTCTCTCAGACCACAGTACAATCAAACTAGAACTCAGGATTAAGAAACTCACTCAAAACTGCTCAACTACATGGAAACTGAACAACCTGCCCCTGAATGACTACTGGGTACATAACGAAATGAAGGCAGAAATAAAGATGTTCTTTGAAACCAATGAGAACAACGACACAGCACACCAGAATCTCTGGGACACATTCAAAACAGTGTGTAGAGGGAAATTTATAGCACTAAATGCCCACAAGAGAAAGTAGGAAAGATCTAAAATTGACACCCTAATGTCACAATTAAAAGAACAAGAGAAGCAAGAGCAAACACATTCAAATGCTAGCAGAAGGCAAGAAATAACTAAGATCAGAGCAGAACTGAAGGAGATAGAGACACAAAAAACCCTCAAAAAATCAATGAATCCAGGAGCTGGTTTTTTGGAAAGATCAACAAAATTGATTGATCACTGGAAAGACTAATAAAGAAGAAAAGAGAGAATAAAATAGATGCAATAAAAAATGATAAAGGGGATATCACCACCGATCCTACAGAAATACAAACTACCATGAGAGAATACTATAAAACACCTCTACCTCTATGCAAATAAACTAGAAAATCTAGAAGAAGTGGATAAATTCCTTGACACATACATCCTCCCAAGACTAAACCAGGAAGAAGTGGAATCTCTGAATAGACCAATAACAGGCTCTCAAATTGAGGCAATAATTAATAGCTTACCAACCAAAAAAAGTCCAGGACCGGATGAATTCACAGCCGAATTCTACCAGAGGTACAAGGGGGAGCTGGTACCATTCCTTCTGAAACTATTCCAATCAATAGAAAAAGAGGGAATCCTCCCTAACTCATTTTATGAGGCCAGCATCATCCTGATACCAAAGCCTGGCAGAGACACAACAAAGAAAGAGAATTTTAGACCAATATCCCTGATGAATATCGATGCAGAAATCCTCAATAAAATGCTGGCAAACCGAATCCAGCAGCACATCAAAATGCTTATCCATCATGATCAAGTGGGCTTCATCCCTGGGATGCAAGGCTGGCTCAACATACCCAAATCAATAAACGTAATCCAGCATATAAACAGAACCAACGACAAAAACCATATGATTATCTCAATAGATGCAGAAAAGGCCTTTGACAAAATTCAACAACCTTTCATGCTAAAAATTCTCAATAAATTAGGTATTGATGGGACGTATCTCAAAATAATAAGAGCTATCTATGACAAACCCACAGCCAATATCATACTGAATGGGCAAAAACTGGAAGCATTCCCTTTGAAAACTAACACAAGACAGGGATGCTCTCTCTTAGCACTCGTATTCAACATAGTGTTGGAATTTCTGGCCAGGGCAACCAGGCAGGAAAAGGTACTCAATTAGGAAAAGAGGAAGTCAAATTATCCCTGTTTGCAGATGACATGATTGTATATCTAGAAAACCCCATTGTCATGTCCTTTGTAGGGACATGGATGAAGCTGGAAACCATCATTCTCAGCAAACTATCACAAGGACAAAAAACCAAACACCACATGTTCTCACTCATAGGTGGGAATTGAACAATGAGAACACATGGACACAGGAAGGGGAACATCACACACTGGGGTCTGTTGTGGGGTGGGTAGAGGGGGGAGGGATAGCATTAGGAGATATACCTAATGTTAAATGATGAGTTAATGGGTGCAGTACACCAACATGGCACTTGTATACGTATGTAACAAACCTGCATGTTGTGCACATGTACCCTAAAACTTAAAATATAATGAAAAGAAATTAATGAAGAAAAGAAAAAAAAAAAAAAGAAAGAAAAGATAAGACCTGGCATGGTGGCTCACACTTGTAATCCCAGCACTGTGGGGGGCCAAGGCAGGCAGATCACTTACAGTCAGTAGTCTGAGACCAGCCTGGCTAACATGGCAAAACCCCATCTTTACTAAGATACAAAAATTAGCTGGGCATGGTAGTGTGCACCTGTAATTCCAGCTACTTAGAAGGCTGAGGCAGGAGAATCACTTGGACCCAGGAGGTGGAGGTTGCAGTGAGCCAAGATTGTGCCACTGCACTCCAGCCTGGGTGACAGAGTGACTGTGTCTCAGAAAAAAAAATGAAAGAAAAGAATAAATAAAATTGATAGACTGTTAGGGAGCTTAACCAAGAAGAGAGCGATACAAATAAGCTCAATTAGAAATGAAACAGGTGCTATTAGTACTGATACCACAGAAATACAAGATCATTCAAGGCTACTATGAACACTTTGATGTGCATAAACTAGAAAATCTAAAGGAGATGGATAAATTCCTGGAAATATACAACCCTTCTAGACTAAACGAAGAAGACATAAAAACCCTGAACAGATCAATAACAAGTAGTGAGATTGAAATAATAATTTAAAAAATGCCAACAAAGAAAGTCTGGGACCAGCCAGATTCACAGGTGAATTCTATCAGACACTCAAAGAAGAATTGGTACCAATCTTACTGAAACTATTCCACATGATAGAGAAAGAGGGAAACATCCCTAAATAATTCTATGAAGCCAGTATCACCCTAACACCAAAACTGGGAGAGGACATAACAACAACAACAACAACAACAACACAACAAACAAATATCCCTGATGCAAAAATCCTCAACAAAATACTAGTTAGTCAAATCCAACAGCATATCAAAAAGATAATCCACCATGATCAAGTGGGTTTCATATGAGGGATGCAGGCAATGTTTTGTTTGGGGCTCCCTCAGCAGTGATATTATGCCTGTGTTTGTAGTGATCCATCTGACCCTTAGCTGGTGCACTGGTCCACAGGGAAAAAAATAGAACAAAAGGGAGTTGGTGGTTTCTATGGTTTTGAACTCTTGCTTATAAGTATTTAAGTAAATGATTAAAAGCTTTACTGTTTCTTTTATTTTTGGCTTTTTGCTTTAATGGACTACTCTAAACCTGAGAGGTCAACTCCATCTCTCCAACTCAGTTTAGCCCTTGACATTATATATAAATCATGTCATCTGTGAATAATGACAGTTTGATTTCTTCTTTTCCAATTTTAATATTTCTTTTTATTTTCCTGTCTTATTGTACTGGATAAGACCTATAATACTATGTTTAATAGAAATGGTGATAGTGGACCAGGCATGATGGCTTTCACCTGTAATGCCAGCACTTTGGGAGGCTAAGGCTGGAGGATCCTTTAAGCCCAGGAGTTTGAGACCAGCCTGGGTAACAGTGAGACCTCTGTGTCTACAAAAAATGAATTTTTTAAAAATTAGCTGGGTGCAGTGGTGTGTGCCTGTAATCCCTGCTCCAGCTATTTGGGAGGCTGAGGTAGGAGGATCACTTGAGCCCAGGAGTCAAGGTTACAGTGAGCTGTCATCGCACCACTGCACTCCAGCCTGGCTAACAGAGGTTAGCTAACTCTTCAGGGTGATCAAACAGGGAGCTCAGAGGCCAAGCAGCCATGTGTTTATGGATGCAGTGTGTTCTCCCACCTTCATGTATTTTCGAATTTGCATTTCTCTTTTATAAGGGAATTATCCTGTTCATTTTCCTACCTGCTGGGATGACTATCTGATATAGCTCAAGACATTGGGTATTTCCCATCTCAAAATAACGCATGTCCTACACAGCCATAAAAAAGAATGAAGCCCTCAAAAAAATATAAGAATGAAATCATGTATTTTGCAGCAACGTGGATGGAGCTTGATGCCATTACCTTAAGCAAATTAATGCAGGAACAGAAAACCAAATACCGTATGTTCTCACTTATAAATGGAAGTTAAACATTGTGTACACATGGACACAAAGAAGGGAACAATAACCAGGCACAGTGGCTCACGCCTGTAATCCCAGCATTCTGGGAGGCCGAGGTGGGTGAATCACTTGAGGTCAGGAGTTCGAGACCAGCCTGGCCAACATGGTGAACCATCTCTACTAAAAATACAAAAATTAGCTGGGCGTTGTGGCAGGCACCTGTAATTGCAGCTACTCGGGAGGCTGAGGCAGGAGAATCACTCGAACCCAGGAGGCAGAGGTGGCAGTGAGCCAAGGTCGAACCACTGCACTCCAGCCTGGGAGACAGAATGAGACTCCACCTCAAAAAAAAAAAAAAAAAGCAGTGGCAGGGGGAACAATAGACATTGGCACCTAATTGAGAGTACAGGTTGGGAGAAGGGTGAGAATTGAAAGCTACCTATCAGGTATTTTGCTAATTACCTGGGTGACAAAATTATCTGTGCACAAAACCCCCACAACATACCATTTACCCATGTAACAAATCTGCACATGTACTTCTTGAACCTAAAAGTCGGAAGAAAAAAAGTGGTAAAAAAATAATAACAGTATCTCCTTCAGTAATAAAAGCAGTTTCAACTGAAGTCCAATAATAAATGAGCAATCACTTTTCAAATAAGTGTGTACTTTTTAGCTGTTTTGGGAAACTCCCCAGTCCAAAATGCCAGTGGTTACCACTAATTAGTAATTCCATATCTTTTGCAGAAGGCATTGTTCAGAAGAGACATTTTTCCTCATGACTCCCCTTTTAGGATCAGAGAAGCATCACACAGAAGCTCTCCAGCAGTTTTTCTTTCTTGTCTCATGGGCTGGAATTGTGTCACATGCCTATGTAAATCACTGGTAAGTGAAGAGCATTATTATAAATGGTTTCAACTAATCCTGATTCACACCTATGGCCTGGATGGACTCCACTTTGTCCCAAACACATGACCACCTCACACCAGAACAAAATGGATTTCTATTAAAGCTGAATAAGATAGAAAATAGCTTCTCTGTGGGTAAATAACTGCCTACCCATCCAACAGGCCTTTATTGATTACTTCTTACCCTCTTGTATCTTTAACTTCTCTTTCTTTCTCTCTCTGTCTCTCCCTAGCTTCTTCCCACTAACATTTAAACATCAATTTTACCCCCTCTTAAAAAAAAAAAAACTATCCTCAACCCCACTTCCCCCTGAAGTGACTAACGTGCATGATTGCAAATAATATAGTGACTATTTGCATTATTATAATTGGTTTCAACTAATCCTGATTCACACTTGTGGCCTGGATGGACTCCATTTGGCCCCAAACATATGACCACCTAACACCAGAACAAAACAGATTTTTATTAAAGAGGAAGAAGATAGAAAATCACTTTTCTGTGTGTAAATAACTGCCTACCCATCCAACAGGCCTTTATTGAATACTTCCTGCCCTCTTGTATCTTTAACTATTTTTTTCTTTCTCTCTCCCTCTGTCTCTCCCTAGCTTCTTCCCACTAGCATTTAAACATCAATTTTCCCCCCTCTTAAAAAAAAAAAAAAACATCCTCAACCTTTCTTCCCTCTTTAGTGACTACTTTGGTTCTCATGCAACTCCACGTAGTAATATTATTCTGTTTTGCGCAAGAGGAAACTGAGGTACAGAGAAGTTGAGTAACTTGCCCAAAATCACACAGCTTGGCCAGTAGTTTATAAAGATAGCCAACATTATAGCAGCATGGAAAATGCAAACATCTCTCTCTCAATTTAGTTCAGAAAATACTTTCTAAATATTTTCCATTCATAATGCACTAGATGGATTTCACATGCTGTCTTTTGGTATTCTCCCCAATAACCTTTATTTAAGGCTGTTTTACAGGCTCAAGTACGTTAAGGGATCTTAAGTGGTAAGCATAGAGCCATGTGGTAAATAGAAGTATTTGAAATCATACCCAGGTTATGTCTATTGTATATTATTTCTCAAGACCCTACCAGATCCCATTCATGTAGAGGATGTCCCTGGTCCTAAGTCTGAATTCTGTTCAGTCTTCCCTTCCACTCCACAGGCATCAGGAAATTTCCAGAATCAACTATTCCAAGACAGCGCTGAAGCAATTCCCCTGGATGAGGGCCGAAGGTAGGAAAGGAAGATGAGAGGCATTCTCTTTTCTCTATGCCTCTTTTATAAACTACTGATGCCCATGTTATCTGATGGAGGAATTTTCTCTGCTTGCCATTGGTGGTGGAATCAAAGTTTGCTAAGCAACGCAAAGCTGGTATGTGTCAGCACCTCCTCTCCCATCACACCCAATGGATGAGACACAGCATGGAATCAGTATATAATCACATATAATGGCATAATAGTTAGAGCTCAGGCTTAGAATTAAATCAATCTGGATTTAAATTTGAACTGCCAGTTATTTGCTCTTTGACCTTGACCAAATGATACGTAGAGTGAGCATCAATTTCCTTACATATAAAATGGAATAAATACCTTCCTCACAGGGACTAGGTGTGAATTAGATGAGATTCCACACTTAGCAGAGTGATAGTGCTGATAATTTGTTAATTTTCAGTGTATCCTCATTTCCTTTATCTCCTGTAACCACTTCAGGGAATCATCACTTCATTGTCAGATGTTTTAGTGGAGAGAAGATCACTCATAGGAATATTTCATAATTATGACTTATGAATCAGTATTTAATACTTCAAAATCTGGCTTTTCTTATCTCCTAATTTCTAGAACTCCCTACATCCTACCAACCATAAGAGTAAGGAAGACAAACTATATATATATGAGTTGAGACAATTCTTGCCAGAAGCCTGAATCAATCACACCATGAGTTCTGATTTCCTTTACAGAAAATGATAACAGATAACAGTAAGCCTTTATGCTTCCCCAGCCACCATTCTAAGTACTTTACATGCATTATCTCATGTAACCACCGCAACAGTCCTAGAAGGCAAGAACTATTATCACCCCCCTTTTTACAGGTGTAGAAACTCAAGACTGAGGAAACAAGGTCACCTAATTAGTAAGAAGAATCAGTAGAGGTTGGGCACAGTGGCTCAGGCCTGTAATCCTAGCACTTTGGGAGGTCAAGGCAGGTGGATCACCTGAGGTCAGGAGTTCGAGACCAACTTGGCCAACATGGCGAAACCCCATCTCTACTAAAAATACAAAAATTAGCCAGGTGTGGTGGCAGGTGCCTATAATCCCAGCTATTCAGGAGGCTGAGGCAGGAGAATCGCTTAAACCCAGAGGAGGAAGTTGCAGTAAACCAAGACTGCACCACTTCACACCAGCCTGGGCAAAAGAGCAAAACTGCATCTCCAAAAAAAAAAAAAAAAAGTCAGTAGAACTTTTACTCTTAAGCATGATTCAGATTTATAATACTAAAGAGCAGTTTCTCTAGCCTACATGTCTATCTTTGGAGTATTAATAAAATAGCAGTTTTTCACTGATGTAGATGTCTTCACATGTTATCTTGCTCAATTCTCCCTATAACTCTATGGGGCAGGTATTATTAGAGTTGTTTTATAGGCTCTGATTGGCCGATGGATCCATACCCACAATGACTAGAACATTCTGGGTCTTGGGTCTCAGGATTTAAGATCACTTTCTAACCACAGTCATAAGAAAGGCTGTTAACCTAGCCTAGCTGGCTTTCCCCCAACCCTTTGGTCACAGATGTCATGGTCACAAGAGAGAACAGGATAAATTGTTTTGGCTACCACCTTGGCTGATGCTAATTCTAATCTCAGAGCATTCCTAACTCCTCGCACTTGAATAATATCCATTAAATATTTTCCTGAATCCACATCTGAAAATGTTGATAAGGACAGACTCAGGATTTCTGACCCAGGAAGACCACAACCAGCCACAAATCACAGATGCTGTTTCCTTCTGAATTTCCAAATTTGGATCCAGACTTCCCAGGACCAAAGGAGCTGTCTCCAGCCTGTGCACACGCTTACCAAAAAAAAAAAAAAAAAAAAAAAAAAAAAGACTTAAAATAAGTGACTTAAAATAGAGACCTGCTACTTCAAAACAACTTCGATTTGTTGCTGATTTCATTGTGCTTGCAATCCCAGATTTTTCTGTTTTAACTTAGTTTTCAATATTCAGGGCTATAAATTGGGTTAGACCTCAGATCAAGTGATTTTTATAATACACTTCACCTGGTCACCAAGAAAGCCTGGCAAATGTGTTCTAAGGAGACTTGGGGAAAGATGTCCTTCAATGGCTAGGTATTTTTCCCATCAATATCTGTTGAAGACTAATGGAAACCGAAGTCAGCCTTTGGAAGCTGACAAGAGAAATTCACATTCATTTCTGAGCTCAGATGCTTGTGTCTCACACTCACAGGATGATGTGACCCAACAGAGCAAAATAAATCCAGCCCATGAACTCAGCTGTATTTAGGAAGTTTCTCTTACCAGTCATTTTAAGTCACCAATTGAGGAAAACATATATAATACTTAAGTTAAAAATGGATGAAATCTGCAAAGCAGCAGTTAGTGATGAGCCAGTGAATGCTAACTCCATGCAAACTGCTCTCTACAAATAAGATGTCTTGCTATTGAATGACCCCATTACTTCTTTACCTTATTAGTCATTTTTTCTCAAGATAATACTAGGGTCTTCAATTTACAGGTGAGTTATATTTAAACATGTATTTCTACTGTTACAGATTTTTATGAATAATGACCAAAATAGTCCACTAACAAAAACATTTACCCAGGATATTATAGATCCTGACTTGATAATAAAACTTTTATTAAATTATTTTACTGACTACAAAGGTAATAAATTCTCTCTGTAGAAAACTAAGATCAGAAACTCTTTAAAAGAACATTAAAATTTCCCTTAATCCCATAATTCATATAAGCATTATTATCCTTGATGTACTTTTTTCAGATATATTTTTAGTGGATATATGGCATTTTAAACAATTTGGGTCATAATATATAAACTGTTTTATATTTTGTATTTCCCACTCAATGTTATATTGAAATACTCTTTCCACCCCATTAATTCTTTTGCAAATAACTTTAATGTCCACTTGACATATAATAACTATAATTCATTTAACTGTTTCTCTTTATGTATATTCGGGGTTTTTTTTACCTTTTTATTAGTATAAAAATATTGTGAAACACAAGTTGTACACATAATTTTGTCTATATTTTTTATCTAGAGTAGATTTCTAAACATAAGGAATACAGTGCCAAGGGTCATAACTAGTTATAAAACCCTTATTATAATAAGGGGTCAAACTTCCTTCTAGAATGTTTTATGTCAACACACATTCACCACCACTGAATAACACAACTATCATAAATCTTTGCCAATTTGTCAGTATTTCACTGTTTTAAAATTGCATTTCTTTGGTAACTTTTGAAATAGAGGACTTTTTAGATGTCTAATTTTTTTCTGAGAATTATCTATTAGTTTTCCCCTTATTTACACCTTAATTCACACATTAATGGTGTGAGTAAACATTTTAATTTGTTAATAACTGCTTCTATAATAACAGTTGTCATACTTGTTGCAATCATTTTTCTAAGGTGTTCCATAACTTTATGTAGCTGAGCTCATCAGTTTTGTTTTGTATCTTATACCATTATATTTTCATTTTAAAATATCCTTTCTTATGAAATATATATTGATTTTATTTTTTTTTTGGTTTTGAAAAGATCTATGTTTTATCTGAAGTCTTTAATACATGTTATTCTTTTTTCTCTTTTTCTTTGGTTCTTTTTTTGATGATTCCATTAAGAAGAGACTTATTTTGTTTTGAAAAATACCTATCTAGTTATTTTTAAATCTTTTATGAGCTACACATAATACCTTTCTAAATATTATTCACAAATAATATCCTTTGGTGGTATTACCATATTTGTTTCTTATTGAGCTCATTTCTATTCTTCAGTTTTGTTAGTATTTTTAAAATATCAAAAAGCTTTTGAATTTAGTTATCAAGTCTAATTTTTTATTGCCTGATGTGTTTCTGTATTACATCATTTTTCTGAATATAATTGCTTGTTATTTACCTTGAGTTGAGTACTGAGTTCATTTATTTTCTCTCCTAATACTACAACGATAAATAATTTAAAGATTAAAAATAATGATATGCAAAATTTTGTTTACTTGTGTTCTTTTATCAAGATTTGGAGTACAGGGTAAGTTATAGGTTTACCTTTAGGATACAAAGCTTGATATATTTAATCATGATATTCTTTAATTCCTCCATTCCATTTGTTATTTTTCCCATTTTATATATAAAAAAAGTTTAGGCACAGTGAGACTAAGATCTGTACACAATATCATGTGGCTAACAGTCAGTGAAAATAAAATGTAAAAATAAGGCATCAGATTCTAAAAAACACACTCTGTCCAATAAATTATGGTGCTTTTGTTCCCTCACCTTAAAATTATGTTTTCTAAACAGATCCATATAATTTTTCACAGTCATCCTTAAATTGGGTTTTGATTTGCAAAATGCCCTGAATTCTAAACATGACAGTTCTCCAGGTGAATTCTAAAGTTTCAAATACATCTGGGGAATGTTGCCTTGCATCATGCTGTTTTATTCTCTTCCAGGATATGTTTCCAGAAGTGTTTGATGAC
Organism: Homo sapiens; assembly: GCF_000001405.40. Classification (NCBI taxonomy): domain Eukaryota; kingdom Metazoa; phylum Chordata; class Mammalia; order Primates; family Hominidae; genus Homo; species Homo sapiens. Next base: position 50,018,131 of record NC_000011.10, read on the forward strand.
ATTCTTGGGCCATTCTGTTTGGATGTGGCATAAATTCACAAATCTAACTACCAGGGCTTATCTTACTCCAGCCTCAGATATTCACTCAGTTCAGCTAATTCTGAAATGTGGTGGCATCATCCTTAATTTCAAATTGAACTCACCTGATGTTTTATAGTTACCCCGAAACAAGTTAAAAATAACCAGAATAACAAACTGCACTGTAGCCTCATGAATATGAGTAGTTAGAAAAAAGAAACTGGGAAATTAAATCACGAATTAAAGCCTCTGCTCCTCCTCTTTTTACGGTTGTTTTTCTATGGGAAAAAAATACTATAACGGTGATTGGGAGAATATCCATCCATGTACAATTATAGGAAAAAATGCCTGACATGTCAACATCATAAAATCATGTTTGTGTGTATGAATGAATGTGTGTCTGTGTGTGTGTGTGTCTGTGTGTGTCTCTGTGTATGAGAGAGAAGAGGAATGTGTGTTCATTATGTCACGAATAATATGGCTCAACTTAAAGTCTTGGGTTTATAGATTTAGGGATTCTATCAGTGTTACAGAAAACAGTCCTGACCAAAATTATTTTATTGTTCAAAATGTATGTGTCAAATTGCAATCCTTGTGCTATTCGCAGATAAATCAATTATCCAAATGCCAAACTGGATTTATGGAGCAAGTGAACAACGTAACGGAATTTTCTTGCTTGGCCTGACATAGAACACAGGGGCACAGAAACTCTTGTTTGCTGTGTTTACACTCATCTAATTTCTCACCATGGTAGGCAACCTACTCATTGTGGTGACAATCACCACCAGCCCAGCCCTGCACTCCCCCATGTATTTTTTTCTGTCTTTCTTGTCCTTCATAGATGGCTGCTGCTCTTCTACCATGGCCCCCAAAATGATATTTAACTTACTCACTGAAAGGAAACTATCTCCTTCAGTGCGTGCATGACCCAGCTCTTTGCAGAACATTTCTTTGGGAGAGTTGAGATCATTCTGCTCGTGGTAATGGCCTATGACCGCTATGAGACAATCTGCAAGCCCCTGTACTACCTGATCACAATGAACAGGAAGGTGTGTGGCCTACTGGTGGCCATGGCATGGGCCGGGGGATTTCTTCATGCTCTGATTCAAATGCTTTTAATAGTCTGGCTGCCCTTCTGTGGCCCCAATGTCATTGACCATTTAATCTGTGACCTTTTCCCTCTGCTAAAACTCTCCTGCACTGACACTCACGTCTTCGGACTCTTTGTTGCCGCCAACAGTGGGCTGATGTTTATGCTCATTTTTTCTATTCTTATTACCTCTTATGTCCTAATCCTCTGCTTACTAAAGACTCACAGCACAGAAGGACAGTGGAAGGCTCTCTCTACTTGCACCTCCCATATCACTGTAGTCATCCTATTCTTTGTTCCCTGTATATTCATGTGCCTTTGACCCATGATCACCTTCCCTATTGATAAAGCTGTGTTTGTGTTTTACACTGTGGTAACACCCATGTTAAACCCTTTAATCTATACTCTCAGAAGCACAGAGGGGAAAAATGCCATGAAGCAGCTCTGGAGCCAAATAATCTGGGGTAACAATTTGTGTGATTAGAGAAGATAAACACAGAACCTACTCATATTTTAACAACAGGTATGACTAATGAAAAGGGTAAAGGTCTTGAGGTCAGAATATGTGAGTTTAAGTATATTTTATTCCCCTTATTTTCTGGAATCTTTAATGATCCTTTTTCATAAAAGATCAGTATCTGATTAAATGATGACTAATGTTTCTGCCAGTTAGAAACTTCTTCACATTTACAAATTATTAATTGCGGGACATTGCTAGTCAACATAAACATGTTACAGTGTATGGAAAACCCATGAGTTTATGTGTTTAGTAGAACAATTATCTGCAAAGCTTCGGTATAGAGTATATAACTAACAGGCCAAATAATTAGAATAAACAAAAAGCCCTAATGGCTAAATCTTTTGTTGAAAATGCATAGTTTTAATCCCAACTAATAAAATTGAAGTAGAACTATTATTGTGAAAGAGAGAGATAGGTGAGAAATGATTGGGTTTTGAGGAATGAGAGTTAAGGCAGCACTCATCCAAAATGAATGCTGTTGTGTTCACAACTCCAGGGGTGATCACTTACATTATAATCTGGCTCTCTCCAGAATAAATTATTTTCTCTAAAGTCAAAGAGGGGTAGAAAATTCATCCAGGTACAATCATAGAACAATCTTGGACATTATTTCTCAGGTAGAAGATGTTTTGTGAAGCACTTTTTTTCTGTCGAAAATATCCTATACACCACTTCACCTCAAAAATGGCTTTTATTGGATGGATTTGTGCCTTAGCTAATAGAAACAAAGTAGCTGACCCAAAAGAGAATTGGTGGCTGGGTGTGGTGGCTCATGCCTGTAATCCCAACACTTTGGGAGGCAGAGACAGGCAGATCACTTGAGGCCAGGAGTTTGAGGCCAGCCTGGCCAACATGGTAATACCCCATCTCTACTAAAAATAGAAAAATTAGCTGGGCTTGGTGGCCATGCCTGTAATCCCAGCTACTCAGGAGGCTGAGGCACAAGAACCACTTGAACCCAGGGAGCAGAGGATGCAGTGAACCAAGATTGCGCCACTGCACTCCAGGCTGGGCAACACAGTGAGACTCCATCTCAAAAAATGAAAAAAAGAGAACTGGTGATATGTGAGTAATTAAGGCAGAAATTCTGCACATTCAAATTTGAATAAAGAACTGCAGCCCAACTGCAGACCATTGAGATTGGAAGTAATTTCAGATGTGGATACAGTGCAATCCTAAGAAAAATAATCCAGATTTTTAAAAAGATCTAGACCAGAGCCAGGCCAGAAGTCCTATAAATCTCAGCAACTTCACTTCTACCTTCGTAAGAACTGAATTAATCCACTGGACTCCATAAGCATACTTAACTCTTATGTTAAGTATATATTACGTACAAATTAATATTCATCAGTTTAGTAAACAATTTATTCCAAGGAGATGAGTTTTTCTCAATTGTGGCTAACCCATTTTCTGGTCATGAAATATCTATGTGCTACCACTATGTTTTCCAGCCCACTCCTTTTTAAGGAAAGCCATGTTTGCAGAAGTGATATATGTCACATTGAGGCATAACCATTTAAGAGCCAGCAAGCTACTCCCCAGCTTTATTTTCCCTGCTGCAGCAAACCTGGGAGACACAAACTGATACGAAACAGCTATACAGAAGCAACAGCCTGGATTTCTGAGTAACTACATGGAGAACAGTTCCCTAGAGCATCGCCTAAACCACAGCTCAGCAGATTTGGCTTGAACAGGAAATAAAATTGTATGTGTTAAACCACTGATAGTTCAGAATTCATATGTTACCACAGAAAAATGCAGCTTATGCTGACTAATGATACAATTAACCTTATCTTTTAAAGGACTTAGAACAGTTAACATAACTTTTGCAATTATCTTGATTGTCAAATAGCATAGGATGGGTAAATACCAATCCTTGCAAAATCAAGTTCAAATAGAGCCTTTTTCAGCTTTGGTGTAGCTCACTATGGTAACTGACATATTTAAACCATAAATTTATAAACCATCTTCTTTTTCCCTTTACGTACAATGTAAGGCAATACTGAAGAAAATTATACAATTATACATTAAGGGGGGTGCCAAAAATTTGTGAACTCCAATATGAACTAGGTCTTCAAAACTTCCTGAGCAAAATTTCTGGCTAACATAGACAGGTCCTTCTTTCTACCCATTCTTGTTTGTTTGTTTTTGTTTGTAAGTGGTTTATTTCACAGCAATAGATATCTGAAATGGGCAAAGGTGGAAGACAGATGCAGGACACCAGTGGGCCAGCTTTTGTGGTCATTTAGGGAAGAAATGATGGACTTGAGCAGACCGGTGGGAGTGAGGATAGTAAGTGGTTGGATTCAGGACACTCTTTATTAGTTCAGTTTTCAGGTTGGAATGCTAGGGAAAGAGAGGTATAATAGAAAAGCAGCAAGTCCCTGCCTGGCCCTCCTCTCCAGACCACTCGTTACAGACAACTACTTTAGACTCCTAGCTCTCTCTTTGATAGCTACCATCATATTGCACCAACCAGTTGCTTATACTGTTAGCTTTTTTTCCCTTTGTTTTGCTTTTTTTAAAGAAATAAGATTAAATCGTTGCATAGAGAGAAGTCCTTCTTAATCAAGAAACAAAACCTCAAAAGCATAAAGAGACCTCCAAAAAATAAAAAAACTTGTGTATTATTTTTAAAATGCCACCAAGTTAAAAGAGGAGCTATAATGAAAATATTTGCAAAATATAACACAAATCTCATACCCTAAATATATAAATAATTCTAAAGAAAAAGACAGTCAAATAGAGATTAGTATTCAGCTGCTTTAAGAACTTCACTTTATATTGCTGCATTTTGATGTATGAGTTTTAGACATGTCTCATCCTCCACTGGCTTCTCAGAGCATGGTGGTCTCAGGGTTCCAAGAAGGTGAGAGAAGTTTCAAGACTTCTTAAAGCCTCAGCTGTGGAACTCACACAATGTCCCTTCTTTCTTGTCTTATTGGTCAAAATAACTCATAAGGCCAACCCAGGTCAAAAGGGTGAAGAAATAGACCCCCCCTCTCTCACTGGGAGAAACAGCAAAGTCCCATTGCAAAGTGGTGTGGGTACAGAGATGTATGGTTCTTTGGGATCATTATTATAACACTCTCCCATACGATGCCTAAAAATGCCTTTCTTCAGCACTCAAAATTGATCGTTTTGCTGGGGATATTATTTTAGATTGATAACTATTTTTTCTAAGAATGAAAGCATTGCTGCATTGTCTTATAGCTTCAAGTATTGTTGGCAAGGGTAATGTCATTTTGATTTCTGTTCCTTTATATATGGTCTCATATTCTCCTCTGAAATCTTTCAAGATCTACTTATCCGTCGTATAGTGCACCCTTGACATAAGTAACTCCATCTTAGAAAAAGATCTACCTTACATTTCATAAGGCACTTTGTCAGCTGAGACCAGATGTTTTGCCTGATCAGTAAAAACTGCATCCAGGCCAGGTGTGGTGGCTTATGCCTATAATCCCAGCATTTTGGGAGGCTGAGGCGGGCAGATAACCTGAGGTCAGGAGTTCAAGACCAGCCTGGTCAACATAGTAAACCCCTACCTCTACTAAAAGTATAAAAATTAGCCAGTCTTGGTGGCTGGCACCTGTAATTCCAGCTACTTACTCAGCAGGCTGAGGCACAAGACTCACTTGAACCCGGGAAGCGGAGGCTGCAATGAGCAGAGATCTCACCACTGCACTCCAGCCTGGGCAATATAGTGAGACTGTCTCAAAAATAAATAAATAAATAAATAAATACATACATACATACATACATACATACATACATCACTACATCCAATCAGGTAAGGACATAACCAAGCACATGCCTCCACTATCAGTCCTCACCAGAGGACTCTGTGGCCATAAAAAGAACAGGACTTCAGCAACTCGAATCAGCTGTCTTAACAGACACTGTCTTGTTGTCACTTGAGATAAGCACCTGGAATCTGCCACCGAAGGCTCTGTCGACATCAAAGACGCTTTCTTGCAAGACCAATGGACCACCTGGCCCAGACAAGGAAATTCTTTTTGTCTACATTGCTCTCCCTGGACTGGTTTGTTAACCTCTTTTCCTATCCCCTTTTTCTTGATGTTAAATATTACTTTGTTTGCTATAGAATGTTTAATCTATAACATTTATATACTGATTAAGTGTACTATTATGTAGGATTTGCAGTATTGACTGACTTAGGGAATGGCTTGTCAGGCTCTGTGCCTGCGGCTCTGACTACCAAGTGAATGGGAAGTACTAAGGAGAATTGCCTCCTTGGGAAATCCATGTAGCTTGAGGCTTTTATGATTGAGATGGCATCAATAAAAGTCAGACATCATGGAAAGACACAACTGTGCATGGTGTTGGTTATCTCTGACCTTGTGCTTCTCATGGGATCTACAGTGTGATGAAGTTTCATAACATGGCCTTATATGTCTTCTTTTTTTCTTTTATCTCTTCCTCTTCCTGCTTTGTATTTACTGTGTTAAGCATTCAGAAGTTCATTTTAATCTGGAAACACGTGTCCTTCAGTTTGGAAGTTTTTCTGATATTATTTCTTTGATAGATATGTTTTCCACAAATATATTTTCTCACAAAAAAATTAGAAGAGTGGCGTTATTTTACATTTTTGAACATCTCTTTTCTTAATTTCAATAGCTTTATAAGTGGTTTTGTTTACATAAATTTATCCATGTATAATGGTGAAGTCTGGGCTTTTAGGGTACCTATCACTGAATAGTGTACGGTGTACCTGATAGCTGACTTTTTTATCCCTCATCTACCTCTCACCCTTCCCGCTTCTGAGTCTCCAGTGTCTAGTGTACCAGTCTGCATACTTTTGTGTATCCATAGCTTAGCTCCTACTTATAAGTGAAAACATGCAGTATTTGGTTTTTTCTTCCTGAGTTACTTCACTTAGGATAACAGCCTCCAGTTCCATCTAAGTTCCTGCAAGAGATATTATTTAGTTCTTTTTTATGGCTGAGTAATATTCCATGATATATACACGCCACATTTTCTTTATTGGTTGATGTTCAGTTAGGTTGATTCCATGTGTTTGCAGTTGTGAATTGTGCTGTGATAAACATACACATGCAAGTTTCTTTTTAATATAATGACTTATTTTCCTTTGGTTAGATGCCCAGTAGTGGGATTGCTGGATTAAATGGTAGACCTACTTTTAGTTCTTTGAGAAATCTTCGTATGTTTTCCATAGAGGCTTTACCAATTTATATTCCCACCAATAATGTTTAAGCATTCCCTTTTCACCTCATCCACACCAACATCTATTGTTGTGGTTTTAGTTTGCATTTCCATGATGATTAGTGATGTTGAGTATTTTTTATGTTTGTTGGCCATTTGTATATCCTCTTTTGAGAAATGTCTATTCATATCATTTGCTCACATTTTAGTGGGATTATTTGGTTTTTCCTTGCTAATTTGTTTGAGTTCCTTGTAGATTCTGGATATTAGTCCTTTGTCAAATGTCGAGTTTATAATTTTTTTTATTCTGTAGGTTGTCTATTTGCTCTGTTGATTATTTCTTTTGCTATGCAGAATCATTTCAGTTTAATTAAGTCCTATTTATTTTTATTTTTGTTGCATTTGCTTTTGGAGTCTTAGACATAAATTCTTTGCCTAGGTCAATGTTCAAAAAAGTTTTTCCTAGGTTCTTCTAGAATTTTTATGGTTTCAGGTCTTACATTGAATTTTTTAATCCACCTTGAGTTAATTTTTGTATGTGATGAGAGATAGAAATCTGGTTTCCTTCTTCTGAATGTGGCTGTCCCATTTTCCCAGCACCATGATTGAATAGGTCATCCTTTCCCCAGTGCATGTTTTTTGTTTGTTTTTGTTTTATTTTTGTCTGTTTTGTCAAAGATCAGTTGGTTGTAGATATTTGTCATTATTTCTAGGTTCTCTATTATCTTCTATTTGTCTATATGTATACTTTTATATCAGTACCATGCTATTTTGGTTATTATATCCTTGTAGGATAATTTAAAGTCAGGTAATGTGGTGCCTCCAGCTTTGTTCTTTTTGCTTAGGATTGCTTTAGCTATTTGAGCTCTTTTTTGTTTCCATATGAATTTTAGGTTTGTTTTTCTAATAGTGTGAAAAATGAGGTTGGTATTTTGATAGGAATTGTACTGAATCTATAGATTGCTTTGAGTAATATGGTCATTTTCACATTGATTCTTCTAATCCATGAGCATGGCATGTTTTTCTGTTTGTTTCCTATATATTCTTCCAATTTCATTAACTTATTGATATGGTTTGGTTCTGTGTCCCCACACAAATCTCATGCCAAATTGTAATTCCCAGTGTTGTGGGAGGTACCTAGTGGGAGGTGATCAGATCATGGGGACAGATTTCCCCCTTGCTGTATTTTGTGATAGTGAGTGAGTTTTCATGAGATATGGTTGTTTAAACATACCTAGAACGTCCCCCTTTGCTCTCTCTCTCTCGCTCCCTTGCTTGCTTCCCCTTCACCTTCTGCCACTATTGTAAGTTTCCTGAGGCCTTCCACCCATGCTTCTGGTACAGCCTACAGAACTGTGGGTCAATTAAACCTCTTTTCTTCATAAATTACCCAGTCTCAGGTAGTTCTTTATAGCAATGTGAGAATGGACTAATATAGAAAATTGGTACTACCAGAGAAGTGGGGCATTGCTACAAAGATACCTGAAAAAGTGGAAGCAACTTTGGAACTAGGTAATAGTCAAAGATTCTAACAGATACAGGGCTCAGAAGAAGACAGGAAGATGTGGGAAAATTTGGAACTTCCTAGAGGTTTGTGAATGGTTTGGACCAAAATGCTGATAGTGATATGGAAAGAGATGGCCAAGCTAATGAAGTATCAGATGGAGATAAGGAACTTATTGGGAACTAAAGTAAAGGTCACTCTTCCTATGCTTTAGCAAAGAAAGTGGTAGCATTGTGCCCCCATTCTAGAGATCTGTGGAACTTTGAACTTGAGATGGTTTAGGGTACCTGGCAGAAAAATTCTAAGCACCAAAGCATTTAACATGTAGCCTGGCTGCTTCTAAAAGCCTATGCTCATTTGCATAAACAAATAAATGACTGGAAAATAAAACTTATATTAAAAAGGGAAGCAGAGCATAAAAGCTTGGGAAATTTGCAGCCCAACTATGTGGTAGAAAAGAAAAAAAAACATTTTCTGGGGAGGAATTCAAGGCTGCAGAAATTTGCATAAGTAAAGAAAAGCCAAATGTTAATAGCCAAGATAATGGAGAAAATGACTCCATGGCACTTCAGAGACCTTTGCGGCAGCACCTCTCATCACAGGCCTGGAGGCCTAAGAGGAAAAAAATTGTTTCATGGGCCAGGCCCAAAGCCTTCCTGCTGTGTGCAGCCTCAGAACATGGCACCCTGCCTCCCAGCCTCTCCAGCTCTAGTCATGGCTAAAAGGGGCCAAAGTACAGATGAGGCCATTGATTCAGAGGGTGCAAGGCCCAAGCTTCCACATGGTGTTGGGCCTACAGGTGTACAGAAGGTAAAAGTTGAGGTTTGGGAGACTCTGTCTAGATTTCAAAGGATGTATGGAAATGTCTTGATGTCCAGGCAGACATCTGCTGCAGTTCTCATTGGGGAACCTCTACTAGGGCAGTGCAAAGGGGAAATGTGGAGTGAGAGCCCCCACACAGAATCCTCACTGAAGCACTGCCTACTGGAACTGTGAGAAAAGGGCCACCATCCTCCGGACCCCAGAATGATAGATCTACCCACTGCTTGCCCCATGTACCTGGAAAAGCTGCAGGCACTCAATGTTAGCCTATGAAAGCAGCCACAGGGACTGTACCCTGCAGAGCCACAGGGATGGAGCTGCCCAAGGCCTTGAGAGCCCAACTTCTTTTTCATCAGTGTGGCCTGGATGTGAGACATGTAGTCAAAGGAGATTACTTTGGAGCTTTAGGATTTAATGACTACCCAGGTGGGTTTCGGACTTGCATGGGGCTTGTAGCCCCTTTGTCTTGGCCAATTTCTCCCTTTTGGAATGGGGACATTTGCTTGCCCAATGCTTATACCCCCATTGTATCTTGGAGGTAACTAACTTGTTTTTGGCTTTATAGGCACACAGGAGGAAAGGACTTGCCTTGTCTCAGATTAGACTTTGGACTTGGACTTTTGAGTTAATGCTAGAATTAGTTAGGATTTGGGGGGACTGTTGGAAGGCATGATTGTGTTTTGAAATGTGATAAGGTTGTTAAATTTGGGAGGGGCTGGGGCATAATTACATGGTTTGGCTCTGTGTCCCCACACAAATCTCATGTTGAATTGTAATTTTCAATGTTGTGGGAGGGAACTGGTTGGGGGTGATTGGATTATGGGGGTGGATTTCCACCTTGCTATTCTCATGATAGTAAGTCCTCATGAGATTGGGTTGTTTAAACATGTGTAGCACTTTCCCCTTCACTGTGTTTCCTGTTCCACCATAGTAAGATGTGCTTGCTTCCCCTTCACTTTCCACCATGATTGTAAGCTTCCTGAGGGCCCCCAGCCATGCTTCCTGTACAGCCTGCAGAACTATGAGTCAATTAAATCTCTTCTTCATAAATTTCCTGGTCTCAGGTAGTTCCTTATAGCAGCAGTATGAGAACTAATACATCTATATTCCACAAATTTTCCTTTAATCTCAGAAAATTACACCTCCTACTTGTCAGGAAAATAGGAACCAAAACAGAATCTCTCAACCTTAAGTTTCTTTATCAATAATGATATGAAGATTCTCACCAGACAACTCTTGTCCCTCTACAGAAGCATCAGTTTGAACTATCTACATTCAAAAATACCTTCACAAGAGCTAAGGAAACCAGCTGAGATATTATAGCACCTGGGTGTAGCACAGAAATAAGAAAAGATGCATTGAAGAGGGTAGGAAGGATGATTTTACATTACCTGTGTCACCACCTGTGTTCCCCACAACCCCAGGCAGCATGGCATAGAGAGAAATAGCCTCTGCATGAAGGAAGGAGAGGGAAATGAACACTGGACTTTGCCTCAGGCTCTAATATCAGAATAGCCCCAGTAAAATTCAGCACTGGCCAGTACCCCATGGTCCCAGGTTCCAGGAGTCCCTTGCTGACTTGGTCTCTGGACCCACAACTTTGCCAGGCCAACTCCAGTGGCTCCAGGTTTCAAGCCTACCCCAGTGTGAGGCAGGCCCCATAGCCCTAGTCATAAGGTCCATATCCACAGATCCAGACTCCAAGCTGACTCTCAGGTCCAGGCTCCCAGCTTGCCTAGTACCAGGCCAGCCCCTGTGACCCCAGTTTCCAGCTCTGCACCAGGTTCCAGACCAGCTCAGAGCAAGGTTGGCCTACACAGCACCAGGCTTCAGGCCCACTCCAGCATCAGGTCAGCACCCCTGGCCTCAGGTACCAGGCTAGCACTCACAGACACAGGATCCAGGCTTATGCAGTATGAGACTGGTCCCTGTGGCCCCACCCACCAGGCCAACCCCAGCATTCCTACTTTTTAGCAGACCTAGGACTCAGGGCTTCTTGAATACCCAGGGTCCAGGCCCATCCCAATAAACCCCAGCACTAGGCCTACCCTGCTGGACCCAGGCTCTAGGAATGCTACTGTGGACCTACGTTTCAGGCCAGCATCTGAGGCCCCAGGACCCATCCATCCATCGTGAACTCAATTCCTAGACTAGCACTTATACACCCAGTCTCCAGTCTGGCCCCTGAAGACCCAAGTTTTAAGCATATCCCCACAGCTCCATATTCCAGAACCCTATGATTCCAGGGACCAGGCCAGCCCCTGCAATCTCAGACTCCAGACTGGTCTTTGTAGACCCAGGGTCCATTCCTGCCCCAGCACCAGGCTAGTTCCAGGCTCTAGGCCAATGAGTAAGGCCCCCATTCCATTGAGAATAGAGGAAGGTTTTGTTTTCTGGTCCTGGACTTTGGGAGTGTGTCAGTTTGTTTTGAAACCAAAAGTTGAGAGCAGAAAAGGTGATTCCATGCAAAATTGCTGTCAGTTCCTCATCACCTCACAAGCTGAAGGAGAGAAGATAGCAGTGGAGCCTTCTTCTAGAATGTCTCTATTCTCCACCTCTGGATGTCATCATACGTAAGTGCTTGGCTGAATGTGATTGATTCTCAATGGCAATGTGGGAAAGCGTGACACCTACTCCAAGTCACACCATTCTCTCTTTGTGGGGTAGAAAGAAAAGATATATACTCTTGAATTCATCATGAGAACATGTCATCTAGGTAATCATCCTACAGGAAGTTGATATCTCTGTCAGTTTAAATGACCCAATCTTTGGTAGTTGGAAATCCTGCCATGTAAGTCCCCTCAGTCAGCCATTAATAAAAATCTCACAATCTCCCAGAGTAATCTGACGCATGACCTTGAATACTGGTATTCCCCATTCTTCAGAGCAACCATACCATTTAGACCAGACAAGGGTTCAGAAAAAAATTTATTCTCTGAACTCTGACCTTTGCCTAAAACCATGCCATATCCTAGGCTCAACAATGCCACAGTTAGCAAAACAGCCCTACAGTGAAGGTTTCCAAATCTTATCCTAAACAATAGCCACAGACATATCTTTAACCCAAGTTCAACTGCATTTCTAAAACTAGCCACTAATGACGTTTGTGAGTGCCAAGTGAGAGTGAATGAAGGACCTGACTATTGCTTTGCCAAACATTCCAACAAGGCCAATTGCTAATCCTCTGGATACTTGAAAGGTCAATGCATTGCCAAATCCTGCAGTCTGTGATAGTCTATTTAAATATTTCTCTAGAGCCAATGAAGAAAGAATTACAAAGAAGGACCTGTGAGCAAATGACAGCAGCAGAGACAGGATGCAAAATGATGAAGATTTGTTTGGGAAACACCACTCCTGAGCTTAGTGGGTTTCTAGGAAAACAGAGTTGAAGGAGAACTTGAATCATAAATAAAAGGAATTCTTTCACCACATTTTTCAGGGACTCAAGGAAACAAAATTTCATCAGAATAGATTTGAGAAAACAATATCCAATCAAGTGGATTTGATTTACTTATTCATTTTATAGTTGCATTTTCCAAATTTGAAGAATTTTGCATTATTCCTAGTTTTTAATCTGGATTGAATAGAGTCCTAAGAGATCTGAAAAATAGATATATTTTGAAGATTGGCTTATACATTCATAGGAAACCCAGAAAGTGAGTAGACACTCAATCCTAGAGATACTGAAGTTTCCTAACTGAAACATCTTGTTTTCTTAGTAAATTCAGACTGACAATGGAAAGCAAAATAAACTAAAATGTCAGAATTGGGAGAGCCATCTAGGGAATTCCAATATCCCACTTGTCAGCTCATAGAATCTATTTGTGGCCATGTTCCATGCCTGCAGGAGAAGAAAGCAGTGACTGCACTCAATCTAAAATTGGAGGAATCCACAATCAACTAGATCCGGGTCAGTGAAAACTATACTTTTTCTCCTAAATTTTGAGCAGATTAACTTGTTTTAGCCAATTTGTTTTCAGTGAAGTAGTTTTTGTCATTCCGTACTTGACTTAAAGTTGAGTATTTTTCTCTGAAAATGAATTTGGACACACTGACATAAAAATATCAATAGAAAAGCCTATGCATAATGTTGCCAGACCAGATGCTGCTAAAAACTTACTGAAGTCACTTTTAAAACATCATGGTTAACATTTATGTCTCACTGAATACACTGATTCTGTAGATTTCTGTTTGTCATGCTTGAAATGTTTTTCCCCTTTTCGTGACTTCCCATATTGCTACATTGAAGTTAGAATTTGTGAATTAAATCCATTAAGGATGATTAACCATATAATCACCATCTACAGAAGCCATGAATAAAGAGAAAGCAACTTAGCAACTGAGTTTTCCTGAAAACCAAAGATATTTTTACTCACCTTTAATGAAGCTCAGAGGTCATGACGCTGACTGATTTCTGTTTCTAGAAATTTTTGAGGAAAACTATGTGGTTACATTTTTGCCAGGGGTTAGGGAAAGAAGGAGAAAAGGGGGAGGAGAAGAAATAAAATATCTTATGCTCTTTTGTAACAATATGTACTTACTCTTGAAACTCTTTGTCTAGATTATTCAAAAATATCTACATTCTTATAATACTGAATGTTTTCCATTAGCAATACAAATTTCCAGTTGTTTACCAGTTAGCAATGAAAACTACAAGTTCATCTTAATTGACTGAACTTATGCCAAAAGAGAAAATTGCATTATCTCAGGTGACCCAGACATTTCTGTCTTGCCGATAGAAAACTCAGGGAAAACATCATGACTCATTTAATTCCATTTGTAAGATGTGAGTGGGGAAGTATATCTAATCTGGTGTATAATTCTGTATGTGATAAAAGTTCAACCGTGAGGGAAATGTATTTATGAAATATCATTAAATATTATAACTTTGCACCATTTATATAGCCACAATTAAAGATGCAGAAAGAGTGAGCATGAAAAAAAGGGTCATTTAGAGATAGATGCAACATTCAGGGATGTTGAATGAATTATCCTCAATGAGCTGTTATTGTGATAGTTACCCAGCATTCTGAAAGAAGAATATCTCCATTTGCAGCTCTGTCTCAATCTGTGTACATGTGCATTTACATGACAGAAAAGGACAATAGATCACAGAACACAGCTGGCTTAGAATTAGTAAGGCTTTGCACTTTAGTATCAAATATGCATATTAGTATCTAATACACATACTGGGTTCATATACCTATAAATAACCATAACAAGAGAAAATATAATTTCAAAACAATTGTTATTGATAAGATTTGTCCTCCCCCAAAATGAAAGAAAGCCATATGTGAAATTTTAGAGCCAGAAAGGAAGTTTGGAAGTCAACATTTATAACAAGATCTTGTTTGTGGTACTTGTAAGATATTATCACTATTTAATTAATATATGAATTAGGAGAAATCTAATCTTCTGTTCTTCTTTACAACTCTGCAAAACAGCAGAGGTGAGTGGCAATGTAGCTCCATCACCCCCAAAAACCAGGACTAAAGAGGTGATGAAATATTTTAGTATTGAATTTAAAATATCATCATTCAGAAATACTATTTTTTTTCAGGTGGGCCATATACACACAACCTGAGCTAAATCTATGAAAAAAGAGATGAACAATGTAACAGAATTCATCCTGCTGGGCCTCACTCACAATCCAGAACTGCAGAAATTCCTGTTTGTTATGTTTTTAATCACCTACTTGATCACACTGGCAGGTAACCTGCTCATCTCAGTCATCATCTTCATCAGCCCAGCCCTGGGTTCCCCCATGTACCTTTTTCTGTCCTAGTTATCCATTATAGATATTTTCTACTCTTCTTCCATAGCCCCTAAAATGATCTTTGACTTGATCTCTGAAAACAACACCATATCCTTCAATGGCTGCATGACTCAGCTCTTCACAGAACATTTCTTTGCGGCAGCTGAGACCATCTTATTAAGTGTCATGGCCTACGACTGCTATGTGGCCATCTGTAAGCCCTTGCACTATGCAACCATCATGACCCAATCTATGTGTGGATTCCTGATGGTGGTGGCTGGAATTCTGGGATTTGTGCATGGAGGAATCCAGACTTTGTTCATAGCCCAGTTACCATTCTGTGGCCCCAATGTCATCGACCACTTTATGTGTGATTTAGTACCTCTTCTGGAGCTGGCCTGCACAGACACTCACACTTTAGGGCCTCTGATTGCTGCCAACAGTGGGTCACTGTGTTTCCTCATTTTTTCCATACTGGATGCTTCCTATGTCATCATCTTGTGCTCCCTAAGGTCTCATAGCTCTGAAGGGCATCTCAAAGCTCTGTCTAGTTGTGCCTCTCATATCTTCACTGTCATCTTATTCTTTGTCCCTTGTTCATACCTGTATCTAAGACCTCTAACCTCCTTCCCCACTGACAAAGCTGTGACTGTGTTTTGCACCCTATTTACACCTATGTTGAACCCTTTAATCTACACTGTCAAAAATAAAGCAGTGAAAAATGTCATTAAGAAGCTCTGGAAGCAAATAATGACAACTGATGATAAATAAGTCTGGTGACACAAACATTTAGGCAAGAATATCTGGTGATATTTTATAGAGATTTATTCTATTTCTTGATTGATTAAACTTGGGACAGTCAATTATCTTATCCTGTCTCCATCAATTTTTATTAGGAGGACATATATTAGGCTAGGCTGACATATTTATTAAGGCACAGTAGTGCCAACAGCCCATGATACTTTTAGGAGCCGCTGAAATGCTTAATGCTTAATTTCTTTAAAAGAAGAAGAAGAAAATGAATATAATCTAAGTACAACTGGATTATATTTATCTTTATGCCAATACACTCATAAAATATAATTTTTAATACTTTTTATGGAGGAAAGAACTCACAAGGGCAAAAGTTTCAAGGGCTCACAAAATTTATATTGTTGCCTGCTTGTGGGTATGAAACAGATTAACAGCAACATTCTTGACACCTTTCATACTCAGCACTACAGCTAGAATGAAGTTTTATTTTACAAGAGGACAAACAACTATACATGAAAGGGCTAAAAACAACATTTTCATGAAAACTTACTTTTAAAAAATTATATCTCCATTCTCTATAGTATACAATTCTCTACAAAAATAATTGAAAGTATTTTTTTTTTTTTTTAGGCAGAGCCTTGCTCTGTCACCCAGGCTAGAGTACAGTGGCATGATATCAGCTTACTGCAACCTCCACCTCCAGGGTTCAAGCGATTCTCGTGCCCCAGCCTCCCAAGTATCTGGGATTACAGGTGCACACCACCATGCTCAGCTAATTTTTGTATTATTAGTAGAGACAGGGTTTCACCATGTTGGCCAGGCTGGTCTCAAACTCCTGAACTCAGGTGATCAGCTCACCTTGGCCTCCCAAAGTGCTGGGATTATAGGCGTGAGCCACTGCACCCAGGAAGAATTGAAAGTATTATTGGCTGGAGCAAAAGAAATATAATTGATAAATGTAACTGATAAAAATAAAGTTAAGGCAAAAAATATCTATACATTAAAATCTGGTTTTACATGCCAGCAAAGGAAAAGAAAGCACTGAAAACAAAACAGCTGAAAAGGAAATTACCAGAGATGTAGAAATAAGTTTGTATCATGAAACTGGATGACAGTGATCATAAATGTAGATTATAGAAAAGAATCCATATCAAGAATGTAATGAAATGCTAAAAGATTCAGATATAGTCAGATGCTTTGAAGTTAGGGATTAAGAGCCCTGGGTCAAACAGACTTGATTTCTCATCTGGTCTCCAGAATTAATTAGCCTTATAAATGTAAGCAAATTGTTTCACCTCTCAACCTGTTCCTTCATCAGTAAAAGGGAAATAACATTACATGTTTTTTTTTCAGTAATGATAATTAAATGATTTAAAGTGAAACCATGAGTCAGCTGAAAAGTCATAAAAATTGGTCCAACACTGAATACCCTTCAGGGATGGCACCGGAGTCTAAGGTATGCAGCAGACTGTGGTTCCAGACAAACGATAACAAGTACATCACCACTCTTCTTCAGTCCCCACAGGCGTAGCAGGATTCAATGTCTGTGTCAGACCACTGCATTTCAAAATCTAGCATGGCCGGGCGCAGTGGCTCATGCCTGGAATCCCAGCACTTTGGGAGGCCAAGGTGGGTGGATCACAAGGTCAGGAGATCGAGACCATCCTTGCTAACATGGTGAAACACCTTCTCTACTAAAAATACAAAAAAATCAGCCAGGCGTGTGGCGGGTGCCTGTAGTCCCAGCTACATGGGAGGCTGAGGCAGGAGAATGGTGTGAACTCGGGAGGCGGAGCTTGCAGTGAGCTGAGATCGCGCCACTGCACTCCAGCCTGGGCGACAGAGCAAGACGCTGTCTCAAACAAACAAACAAAAAATCTGTCATTAATGTCATCCGCTTACACATACAGACAGCACAACGGTAGGTTGTTTTCTCACCTGGGATGCTTACTGGAGCCACCAACCAGGTCTTTGGAAATTAAAGTCTATCCCATCACTTATTTTCTCTTCTGAGATGAAAATACTCTTCAATGTCTCTGTAGTTAAAATGAGGGAGCTGGTGGGGGCCACTGTGAGATGCCTGAGCAGAACTAAGTTTAAAAGCTCTGATGAATGACAGATCCCATCCTGTTCTGGTCCTCTGAAAGAAGGAGAAAGGAGAGTCAGTGCCAAGGACCAAAAGATCTGTCTGTACTTAGCTTGTGGTTCCTGTGGGAGAACTCAGAAACATGTTTTTAGGAGGACATTTCTAACCCATGGAGCTGCACATCACTGGATGCAGACATTTTCTGTGTTCTCGGGACCTTGTATCAGGTCACATCTTGCATGCAATGCCTTTTTAAAAATAAATGCATTTTCATAATTTCTTATGAGTGCCTATTTTGTAAATACATGCAAACAACACTGTTTTTAAAAATAAAATTTATCCTTTAAAAATGTAGTTGTATACCATTTGACCCAGCAATCCCATTACTGGATATATAACCAAAGGATTATAAATCATTCTACTATAAAGACACATGCACATGTATGTTTACTGCAGCACTATTTCCAACAGCAAAGACTTGGAGCCAACCCAAATGCCCATCAATGATAGACTGGATAAAGAAAATGTGGCACATATACACCATGGAATACTATGCAGCCATGAAAAAGGATGAGTTCAGGTCCTTTGCAGGGAAATGGATGAAGCTGGAAACCATCATTCTCAGCAAACTAACACAGGAACAGAAAACCAAACACTGCATGTTCTCACTCTTAAGTGGGAGTTGAACAATGAGAACACATAGACACAGGGAGAGGAACATCACACACTGGGGCCTGTTGTGGGGTTGGGGGCTAGGGGAGGGATAGATGAGTTGATGAGTGCAGCAAACCACCATGGCACGTGTATACCTATGTAACAAATCTGCACTTTCTGTACATGTACCGTAGAACTTAAAGTATAACTTTTAAAAAATGTAGTTGTAATTCCCAAGAAAAACAGAATGAGAAATAGGATAATACAAAAATAAGAATAATGATGACAATTGTGATAATGATTATAACTAATTTCTATTAAGCACTTTCTGTGAATGAAGTCCTGACCTAAGCACTCACTTTGTATGTTTTGTATGTATTGGAAGCAGTGAATTTCTTTTTTTAACATTTTATCTGACAGATAAAATTACATATATTTATCATGTACAACATGATGTTTTGAAATATGTATACATTCTGGAATTCAGGTGGATCATCAGGACTTGTTTTCCAAGCACCAGTCACAACCCCGCTGGTCAAAGCAGGATGCAGTAAAGAAACTGGCTGAAATCAGCTAAAACCAAGATGGCAATGAAAGTGACTTCTAGTCATCCTCATTGCTCATTATACTCTAACTATAATGCATTGGCATGCTAAAAGACACTCCCAACAGTTCCCTGACAGTTTACAAATGCCATGGCAATGCCCAGAAGTTACCTTATACGGTTTAAAATGGGAGAAACCCTAGTTTCTGGAAACTCTCCACCTCTTTTCCAGAAAATTCATGAATAACCACCCACTACTTACCATAGTTAAGGAGTAGCTATAAATATAACTAGCCAGCAAGCAAGCAGAGCTACTCTGCCTATGGAAAAGCCTTGCTCTGTCTATGGAGCAGTCATTTCCTTATACTTTGTTGCTCTAATAAATTTACTTTCAGTTTGCTCTGAATCCTTTCTGGCACAAAGCCAAGAAACTTCACAGGCTGAGCCACAGTTTTCAGGTTCATCTGCATCATCTTTCCTGGTGAGTACGAAGGGACCAATAACATGAAGGGACTAACAAGCTGAAGGGATCTGTGGGAGACAATTACCTGAACCCCAAATTAAGACCAATTGGCACCATTTGGCCTTCATGGATGGGAGAGCGTCCCCTTCGGTCACCCTCCTATTCGGACAATTATTTCTATTCGGGCCTTGTTTGTTTCTTTTGTTATTTTGAGAGGTTCCCCATGGCACTCTGGATTTTTTTACATTCCCTCTAGGGTTGTGGGTTAGAGTCCCACCCTAGGGGCAATCTTGGTCTTTGTCATACCACCATTTTCAGCGACCTCCTCTAGTCCCTCTTTTTCCTCAACCAAAATGCTTTCTTCCCTTTTTGTGGAATTCAGACTATGAGAATCCTGTCACCCTATTTTTTGGGGGCAGGGTTAAAAAAAACCAAGAACTGTATTGGCACAAATTACTGGTTTCTATCCCATATTTTCTCAATTATCTTTATTTTTTATTTTTTATTTTTTTTTACTTTAAGTTCTGGGATACATGTGCAGAACATGCAGTTTTGTTACATAGGTATATACATGTGCCACGGTGGTTTGCTGCACGCATCAACCTGCCATCTAGGTTTAAAGCCCCGTATGCATTAGGTATTTTTCCTAATGCTCTCCCTCCCCTTTCCCCCTACCCCCCAACAGGCCCCGGTGTGTGATGTTCCCCTCCCTGTGTCTATGTGTTCTCGTTGTTGAACTCCTACTTATGAGTGAGAACATGCAGTGTTTGGTTGTCCATTCCTGTGTTAGTTTGCTGAGAATGATGGTTTCCAGCTTCATTCATGTCCCTGCAAAGGAGATGAACTCATTTTTTTTTTCTGTCACCCTATTTTCACCTCTCCTTCTGTACTTTGCTTATTACAACACTCCTTTTCTTGTATTCCATTTGCCAGTGGACACAGTCATCACTCCACTGATCACTTATATCTCATAATTCACTTTCATCACACCCTGCTAACTGTACTTACACCCTCTTTGCAGGAACTGGTGACAACTTCCCCACTGATCTTTCTTGAGAAAAAAAGGTGAGAATTTAAAAGGGAAAATAACTGGGCTCTCATTAGACTTAGAAAAACTTCTGTAGGGATCCTCGTTAGACACGGCGACAATAGTGAGCATCCCGAAGAACTCATCACTAGGGTGTCTTTTAGGCAATTGGAGTAAATGCAAATTAGACAGCTTCAAGGGAAAGAAATTCATTTCCTATTGCAATATGATTTGGGTCCAATACAAATTGGAAGACCAAGAAATTTGGCCTAAAAATGGTTATTTACCTTATAATACTATTTTACAGTTGGACTTATTCTGTGAAAAGGAAGGAAAATGGACAGAGGTCCCTTATGTACAGGTGTTTACGGCCCTTTACCAGAACCCTCACTTAAGGGAGAGCTGTAGGATGTGCCTGGCTCATGTTACTTCCAGATACCAAGAAGATGCACTTCCTAGATGATACCCTCCTAGCTGCTCTCCCTAGGAGGCCCACATGTCCCTTGGAGCCTCCTCAGTTCCCTGATTCTGAGGGGAGTCCCACTAGTTTTCCAGCCCAGGATTTCACCCTAGGGTCATCAGACTCCCCTCCCACTTAGCCAGTTAGGCCCAACCTATACCCCTGCTGCTTGAGGAAATAAGCCCAACCAGTACCACCAGGAGTGATGCCCCATATCAGCCCCTAAAATTGAACCCGTGACCATTGCAAGAGGTAGCTGACAGAAATAGGGGAACAATTAGGGTACATGTGCCTCTTTCTGCGTCTGATTTGACTTTATGCAAGGAGAAATTTGGCCCATTTTTGGAAGATCCAGGGAAGTTTATAAAGGAATTTATTAAGTTGACCATATACTTTATCTTGACAAGACTTGCAAATATTATTGTCCACCTGCTGTACCACAAGACAGAAACAAAGGATTCTGGGTACTGCCCATGAATATGCAGATGGAGTAGCTACTTGAAACAAAAGCCATGCCATTTATCATGTGAAGGGAGATGCAGTTCCAGACTTGGACCTCAGTGGGGTTGCCAGAGGGGTTCCCAAGATTTCAAATGCAGAAATCACATGGTAACTTATTTAATAGAAGGTATGGAAAAGATATGGTTAAGCCAGTTATGACGATGTTACAGAAGTAAATCAGGGGAAGGAAGAACATCCTGCTCTGTTTCAGGACAGTATGGCTGAGGCACTCAGGAAATACACTAATGCAGACCCAGACTCCTGGGAGGAGCAAGCTCTCCTAGGTATAAATTTTATTACTTGATCTGCCCTTAACTTAGGAGGAAACTACAAAAGGCAGAAATGGGACTTCAAACACCCAAGAACCAACTCTTAAACACGGCCTTTGGAGTTTACAACAATAGGGACAGGGCAGAGAAGGTGAAGAAAATCTGAAGAAATAGCCAAAAAGTTATTAATTCAACATGGATTAAAGACTTAAACATTAGACCTAAAACCATAAAAACCCTAGAAGAAAACCTAGGCATTACCATTCAGGACATAGGCATGGGCAAGGACTTCATGTCTAAAACACCAAAAGCAATGGCAACAGAAGCCAAAATTGACAAATGGGATCTAATTAAATGAAAGAGCTTCTGCACAGCAAAAGAAACTACCATCGGAGTGAACAGGCAACCTACAAAATGGGAGAAAATTTTCGCAACCTACTCATCTGACAAAGGGCTAATATCCAGAATGTACAATGAACTCAAACAAATTTACAAGAAAAAAACAAACAACCCCATCAAAAAGTGGGCGAAGGACATGAACAGACACTTCTCAAAATAAAACATCTATGCAGCCAAAAAACACATGAAAAAATGCTCACCATCACTGGCCATCAGAGACATGCAAATCAAAACCACAATGAGATACCATGTCACACCAGTTAGAATGGCAATCATTAAAATGTCAGGAAACAATAGGTGCTGGAGAGGATGTGGAGAAATAGGAACACTTTTACACTGTTGGTGGGACTGTAAACTAGTTCAACCATTGTGGAAGTCAGTGTGGCGATTCCTCAGGGATCTAGAACTAGAAATACCATTTGACCCAGCCATCCCATTACTGGGTATATACCCAAAGGACTATAAATCATGCTGCTATAAAGACACATGCACACGTATGTTTATTGCGGCATTATTCACAATAGCAAAGACTTGGAACCAACCCAAATGTCCAACAATGATAGACTGGATTAAGAAAATATGGCACATATACACCATGGAATACTATGCAGCCATCAAAAATGATGAGTTCATGTCCTTTGTAGGGACATGGGTGAAATTGGAAATCATCATTCTCAGTAAGCTATCGCAAGGACAAAAAACCAAACACTGCATGTTCTCACTCATAGGTGGGAATTGAACATTGAGAACACAAGGACACAGGAAGGGGAACATCACACTCTGGGGACTGTTGTTGGGTGGGGGGAGGGGGGAGGGATAGCATTAGGAGATATACCTAATGCTAAATGACAAGTTAATGGGTACAGCACACCATCATGGCACGTGTATACATATGTAACTAACCTGCACATTGTGCACATGTACCCTAAAACTTAAAGTATAAAAAAAAAAAGAAATAACCAAAAAGCACAATTCTTAGTGGCTGCCTTAAACTCTGTGCCACCTCAGGATTACCCATTCTGAGAAAGTGTCATGAAATCAGCCTCTGGGATGCCCAGGTGAAAGTCTCTGACTTGCTGTCCCCTCGGCCAGTGTTTTTTTCTGTAAGCAAGAGGGCCATTGGGAAAGGGACTTCCTCAGGCTCTGAAGAAAGCCTCGGCTACCCACACTCACAATGGCTAAGAGAACAGAGGATTGAAGGGGCCTGAAGTCCTCCATGGTTCCCACTGTACATCTTGCCATCTCCACAGGAGATCCTTGGCTAACCCTTGATGTGGTAGGTAAGAAGACTGAGTTCTTATTGGGTAAGAGTTCTGACCCATTTCTCAGGGCCAGTTGTCTTCCTGCTCTTATACCATAACAGAGATTGATATCCAAGAATTAGGAGATTCACCCACTGCCTTGGTTGCAATGTGCAGGACCATAGGTTTTAAACCTGAGTGCCCTGTGTCTTTACTGGGAAGGGACTTACATTCCCAATTACAGGCCACAGTTCAATTTGAGGAGCCTTATGATAAGGCAATAGGCCAGGAAGGGCTCTAAGTGAATAACTTAATACACACAGATACATAAAAGACCTCCCTTCCACTGCATATTACTTCTCAAGTAGACCCCTCTGGGAAATAGAAGTTGCTGGTAGAGCTGTTAATGTACCCCCAGTCCAGGTTACCTTGAAGCCCAATGTTGGTTACCCATGGAGGAAACAATATCCATGAGACCTGAAGCACAACTGGGCATACAACCCCTGATAGCAAAGTTTCTAAAGTATGGACTACTACAGCCCTGGCAGTCCCCATGTAATACCCCCATCCTGTGTGTAAAGAAGGAAAATGGGGAATACAGATTTAAGCCCTGAGGACAGTTAATGAGGTATTAGTCACTGCCTACCCAATAGTTCCTAACCCTTACACAATATTGAACCAAATCCCCGAAGATGCTAATTGGTTCACAGTATTAGATTTAAATGATGCTTTATTTTACATATCTTTACACCCAGACGTCCCAGTATATTTCTGCTTTTGAATGGACTGATCCAGACCCTCATGCTATATCTCAGTTTACCTGGACTCTTTCCTCCAAGGTCATAGGGACAGTCCTCATCTCTTTGGGAATGCATTGACAAAATAATTAAGGGAATTATAGTTAAAAAATGGATCCATTTTACAATATGTAGATGACCTATTAATTTCCAGCACTACTAGAAAATACTCTAATAAAAATACAATTCAGGTCCTTAATTTTGGGAGAAAACAAGGGTATCGTGTATCCCCCCCAAGCACAAGGCCCAGATTTCTATTCAAAATGTTAAATACTTGGGATACATGTTCCCTCCTGGGACAAGGACCCTAGCGCAGAAACAGAAAGAGACCATCCTGGCACTCCAGCCCCTTCAGACTAAGAAATAGTTAAGAACCTTTGTGGGAATGACTGGATTATGCTGGATTTGGATTCCTGAGTTGGGGCTCATATCAAAACCACTCTATGAAGGTCTAAAAGGGAATGATCATGAGCCTTTGAACTGGGATGGAACCTGCCAACAGGCATTTCTAACCTTAAAAGAAAAGATGGGAACAGCCCCTGCTTTGGGACCTTTCACCCTCTATATGGCTGAAAAACAAGGGACAATTTTGGGTGTTCTAAATCCAAGGCTCAGGAATTATCCCAGATGAATGGCTTCTCTAAACAGCTGGAACAGATGGTGGCTGGATGGCCAGGATTCTTGCAAGCTATGGCCACCATCACTCTATTGATAGAAACAGACAGTAAGTTTACCTTGGTGCACCATTTAGATGTTATGACCTCCCCATCAAGTACAGGAGGTTCTAGAGGCAAAAGGACGTCCATGGCTAATAGGAAGCCAGTTACTTAAATATCAGGCCCTTCTGCTTGACACCCCCAGATGTTACCCTTAAGGTATATTAAGTTTTAAACTCTGTTACCCTGTTCCCAGACTTCACATCCCAAGAAACAGGTCCCCAATTCATCCACTCCTATGTGAAAACCATGGAACAGACCTACTCTAGCAGGTCTGACCTTAAATATGAGCCCCTGATAGCTTTGATGTTTTGTGGTCTACAGACAGGAGTAGCTTTATTCATAAAGGAGTAGTAAAGAAGACAGGTAATGCTATGGTTAGCCAACAAGAAGTTATTAAGGCCAAAGTTTTACCTCCCCAGACTTCTCCTCAAAAAGTGGAATTAATTGTTTTAATAAGGACCCTCCAACTGGGAAAAGAGTCAATATATTTACTCATTCTAAATATGGATTCCTGATGCTCCATGCTCATGCTGCCTTGTAGAAAGAAAGAGGACTACTAACATCTAAGGGGTCCCCCATAAAACATCACTGAGATCTTGGAACTTTTAGATACTGTCCAGCTCCCAAAAGAAATAGCAGTTATTCATTGCAGGGGACACAATAAGGGAGACATGTCTAGTATTAGAGGAAATGCTCTGGCAGACAGAGCAGCCAAGGCCACTGCTACAAGAAGATCAGTACCACGGGCCACTGCACTAATGCCTGATACTCCACCCATGTCAGCAGAATCATACTGTACACCTGAGGAAATTAAATGAACATAACAGAAAGGCTTACAAAAGAGTCCCTCATGGTAGTTGCTAGAAAGCAACAAACTTTCTCCCCAAGGCTAAGCAGTGGAAAATAATTAAGCATTTCCATAACTCCTCACATTTGGGATGGAATTCTCTCTTCAAATTGGTTTCCCAAATATTCTTGGAGAAGGGACTATTCCAGACTGAAAAAGGGGTCACCAGGACCTGTGAACTCTGTGCCCATAATAACCCAGGAAGCCACCTACTCAAACCTTTATAACATCAAGGAACATATCCTGGGGAAGACTGGCAAATAGATTTCACTCAGACTGCCTTACAGAGGACTACAATATTTGCTAGTACTTATAGCCATTTTCACCAGATGGATAGAAACTTTTCCCACAAGGACAGAAAAAGTATTGGAAGGGTCCAAATTCTTACTTAAAGAAGTTCATCCCAAGGTTTGGATTATCAAAAAGCTTGCCAAGTGGTAATGGACCCTTCTTCATAGGTAAGGTGACCCCGCAGGTTTCCTCAGCCTTGGGCATTACCTGTCATCTTCATTCCTCCTGGAGGCTTCAATCCTCTGGTAAGGTAGAAAGAGCCAACCATGTTTTTAAAAGGACATTAGCAAAACTCTGTTGGGAAACCTGGGAGGCCTAAGTTTTTCTCCAATCCGTAGCCCTCTTGTGCATAAGGAGGGCTCCAAGAGGAACCCTAAAACTTAGTCCATTTGAAATAACCTGTGGGAGGCCGTTTTTAACTTCAGATTTCCTGTTTGATGAGGAGACACCTAGAACGCTCACTCATATTATCAACTTAGGCCAGTTTCGAAAGATCTTTCAAGAATATGGAAATAAAGCATTTCCCTTTCCCACAAGGAAAAGAGTAAGTCCCCTCTTTAATCTGGAGACTTAGTCTTACTAAAAACCTGGAAAGAAGGGAGTCTTCCCCAAGGATCTATTACAACCAAAATAAAAGGCCTCCTATCAGGTGTTGTTAAATACCCGTGCTGCTGTGAAACTTCCGGGAGTCACTAGTTGGGTATACCTGTATAGCATTAAACTTATTTTCTCATGAATCCCTGCAGGTGCAAGAGAAGAACACCATGACCTACACTTGTGATCCTCAAGAAGATTTGAAGCTGTTGTTTAACAAACACACAGATAAGTAGCATGACAAGGACAAGGAAAAGTATGTGCAGTAATAAACCACACCTGTTGTTCTTATGCTAACAATTCAGAGTTAGTTGAACTGCAAGCTCAAGGACTTCCACCCTCCTGCAACTCTTTAAAATTAAGGAGGAGTATATAATCTCTGAGGGGAAAATGAGGTACATCAGCAGGACTTGTGTTCCAAGCAAGAGTCACAACCCCAGCCATGATGCAGCTTGTCAAAGCCCCAGTTTTGGGGTTTGCCTGCATCAGAATGGTTAAATCAAGCTAATTAACGTATGCATTACCTCACATAGTTATCCTTTTCATGGTGAAAACACTTAAAATCTACCCTCTTAGCATTTTTTAAGAATACAAGATTTCGTTATTTACTATAGTCACCATACTGTACAATAGATCTCTTGAACTTATTCCTCCAATCTAACTGAAATTTTGTATCCTTTGACCTACACCATGAAAGCAGCCATTTGTGACCTTCAGTTATTTCTGTGCTTACCTTTTTAAGCCTCAAAACATAGAATTTACCTCTGTCTAAAATATTTAATTAAACATAATTGTGACCCTACTCACAGGAAACTGTCACTACCAACAAAACAATGATATTGTATTTATAATTATGGTGGCTATTTTTAATTTATTTGAGTGTCTACTATGTGCAAAGTACTTTATATTCTTTCTGTTATTTGTTAATAATTCTCACTGACACTCAATAAACATGATAACCTTGATATTCCCATTTCATAAATTAGGAAACCAAGAGACAGAAAGGTTAATTATAGTGTTCAAGTTTAAGTAGCTAAAATTTGGCTTAGATAGAATTCAGGTCTAAGCCTGTCCAACCCAAACCCCTCATGCTTTGCCAAATTCTATTCTGCTTCCACTTAATATAAATAAACAAATTAGTTGTCTTAAATATCTTATATTTACATTGAAATTGTCTTCTTGAAACTCTTTGGCCTTCATTTTTTAAAATAAATTTTGTTGTGTATATCACTTTTTGAACTAATCTGCAGGTGAACTAGTTTTCAAAGACAGATCAGGCTGAAAATGTTGTGTCTGCAAAGAACCAGCTAGTGACTTGTCAGTAATTTAAATTCCATAAATGTTTTGATTCACACATATCAGAAAACTTCTTTGAAATTAACTGTCTTTTTCTCCACCTGCACCACTTTGCACATAAAGGAACAGCTCATAACTTATACAGTGCTACTTTCCTCTGATAAATAACAAAATAAAAAATAGCAAATATTTTTATATGAGTATGCATTCATTTTGCCATTGTTCATTAAAACAAAATTCCACTTCAGGGAAAGGGGTTCAAGAGAAGTGAAAAAAATGATTTTTTTAAAGTTGTTTGCCAGTGGCCGTGTAATGATCAGTTGCAGAATAAAAATCTCAATCACAGATCTTCTCTTTTTACTTGACCAGTATGTTTTCCACAGTACTTAAAATTCAGAGGATTAAATTATTTCTAACCCTTATTCTTCTTTTATACTTTTCTCACCAGCAAGGAAGGAAACTAACATTTATCAGGCACCTGTCACCTGCCCAACAGTCATCTTCCTACACACTTTCCTCTTACAAAGGCATGACCTAAGGAATAAAATGTCCATTTATAGTTGAGGAAACTAAGCATTAGATAAGTTTATTTGCCTAAGCTGACTTGTAAGCTGAACAAATAAATAATTTAGCCCTAGAGTGTAGTTTCCACCTTTTAGGTTGGCAGAGGCTTAACCAAAGGTAAAGATTAAGCTGAAATTATGACAAAAAAGCAATAATTGAGAACTGAAGAGGTCTTGGAGGTAATGTGATGGGAGGCGGTCATGGGGATCAGTGAAAAGACTGGCCTTGAACAGGATGATAAATCAAATTAATTGTCGGTGTAAGTAAGGGAACAGGGAATTCATGGGATCAGGGGAGGGGCACCAGCACAATATCTTTATTTTGACCTCATCTAAAGAAAAATCTAAATTGTCTGATTTTTAGGTTTAAAAAATACATAAAAATACAAAGAAGAGAAAAAGTGTCATTTTCTTATAATCAATAAGCTACTATTTTAAAGTCTAACATATCTGTTTTATGAGGTTTCTTTCCATTTTTAATTACACAAAGTCATGTACTGATATATTGTGCTTATTAAATTAGGACATAAAAAGTAGAAGTAAAAGACCCCTTTGCTCTTCTACTTCTCATGACAAAAAATACTATTCTCTGCTTTCACACACACAAATACGTACTAACACATGCACACACAAAGAAAATATTTTTGACATTTAGTGGTTTATTTTCTATTAACGTTATCATACTAGATGCATCATTTTCAACTTATTTTGCACTCAACATTGTTTTTCAGATTGATCTGTATTAACAAATAAAAATACAATTCATTTCTTGTAACTGCTATACAGTAATCCGTCATACGCCATGGTTGCCTAAGCAATTCCCTAGTTGATTACTTCTATGTTTTATTACAAACAATTCTGTGGTGAAAATCCTTGTACATGTTTCCATATGCACATTCATGAAATTCTTAGGTATTAAGAATATCTAAATTAGTTGTTCTCTAAGTAGATACCTACGAGTGAATCAAATGGTTAGTACTTATTTTAACAAATACCATCAAAGAGCTTTCCATGCTGGCTGTGCCACCAGCAGTGTACAACAGAGCTGCCATTTCCCATCTCTGGCCACACTTGATATTGTCAAGTGCTTTAGTCTTTGCCAATATGTGAAATATGTGAAAGTGGATTCTTATTATTACTATAATTGGCATTTCCCTGATTACCACCAAAGTTGGGCATCTTTAAAATGTTTGTATAAACAGTAAATTTTTTGTTTATACATTTACCTATTTATATATTGGTTGTTTAACTTTTTCTTCTTATACTCTAGCAGTGCTTTTTATATTCTGATTCTTTGGCTATTATACATGTTGCAAATATCTTCTCTCCAGCAGTGACTGGTCTTCTGACTTTGTTTATGGTGTCTTCTTATCATTCAAAAGCAATTTATGTATTATGTGGCCCCATTTATTGATCCAAATTTTATCTCTCATTTCAGAAAGACTTCTCTGGCCTAGATCATGAATATATTATCAAATAATATCTTCTATTAATTTTTAAAAAGAAATGTTTGAGTTTAGGATTTTTTTCATCTGGAATTTATTTTCATAGTCATGTAAAGTAGGAACCTAATTTTATGTTAAAACCTTCAAGTGGCTTCACATTTTCTTACAGGACTGAGGCCAAATACACTGTGTCCTGAAAGCATATGCTGATTCTGTGACTGTAATTCCCTTTTCATTCCTCACATTTTCAGTTGATTCATCTGACTCCTTTTACTCATACTTCAACATCCAGTGAAATATAGCCTCTTGCATGTAATACCCCTTGATCTACTCAGTGTTGAAAACCCTTCACTCATCTCCTGACTATACCTGGCTCATACACTATTGTCGCATTCATCACATTGTGAAGTCATTCATTTACATGCCAAGATTCTACTCTTGATTCTGAAATACCCCTTAATTGATGATCACCCTACTGTGCCTTCTCATGCCTCTAACTTATGAATGAGCTTATTCCTCTAGAATGAGAATGTTCTTTTCTACTTTTGTTCCTAACTCTGACTCTACTCTATTAGGTTTGTTTGTTTGTTTTTCCCTAAAGATGCACTCTTAGATGTGTAAAAATATTTGGCTAAAAGAATATTTGTTGCAGTACTCTTTATAATAGCAAAAACTAGAACCAATCTAAATTCATTAACAGGGGTTCCGTTAAATAAATTTAGAAAAGCTATATAATAAATACTAAACAGTCATCCATATTGAGTCACAGAAAAAATTTACATTATGCAGATATATATCAGGCATAAATTGAAATATGAAAATCAGATTAAACAAATCAGTATGGAAATAAAATATTATCTCATATATTACATATCACATATATTTGTGTCATACACCTATCATATGATATACTGTATATAAAGAGAGGGAGAGGGAAATAGAGAAGAAAAGGGAGGAAGAAGAGAAAGAAGGGGAGGAAAAGGAGAAGAAAAGGTGATTGAGGACTGGAAGAATATCCATCAAAATGTTGATAGTGATTATCTCTAGGTAATGGGCTAATAGGTGGATTTATACAAGTGTGTTGGAGGATGTATGTTGACCATCTTTATTTTCTTATTTTCTAAATTTGCTAAAACAAATATGGATTATGAATGAAAGACATTTTACATGGTCTCTAAAAAGAAGATACAGCTATCTTTGTTAACAAGATTAGTAATAATTTTTAATTACTACAAAACTACTCAGAATATTTACCCATGTATTTAATCTAGCGAGTTGAAATTTTTCAAAAGTAAGCAATATTTATAAGTTAATGGGGATGTTGTTCATCATAATTTGGACAATAAAAATAGGGGTGCACTAGTATTAGTCTTTCTGCTATTTGATATTTTAACTGTACCAAAAATCAGGGTACTTTAAATTACAATTAAAATAAGTGTGCTTTTCTAAAAAGTCTTTTCAGATGAAATTGTAGCAAGCTGGCCAAAAGACAGGCTATTTTTTAGCAATCCTCATCATGATTTCATATTTCTTAGTTAATTAAATAATATTTTTATCATCTAACAGCAGAAATGAATGGGTACAGAATTCAAGGTCTCAATTATAGCTAGCTATTATTAATTAGCTTCCCAAAATGTGTCAAAGTGAAAGAAAGCAATATTTCCTTTGCCAAAAATTCTGCAATTGTCATTTTTATTAGACATGGAGTTATGGGGATAAAACAAGAAACTTTTCCTGATAATCTCCCAAATGTGGTGGAAACTAATTTCTTGGAGACCAATTTTGCACTTTTTGTGACTTTTTTAACTTTTATTTTAGATTCAGTGGTACATGTGCAGGTTTGTTAAATAGGTATCATGGGGGTTTGTTGTACAGATTATTTCATCACCCAGGTAATAAGCATGGCATAGTACCCAATAGTTGGTTTTTCAATCCTCACCCTCCTTCCACTCTCTACCCTCTAGTAGGCTTTGGTGTCTGTTGTTCCCTCCTTTGTGGCCATGTGTATTCAGTGTTTAGTTCCCATTTATAAGTGAGAATGTGTGGTTTTGATTTTCTGTTCCCATGCTAGTTAGGATGATGGCCTCTTGGAGATTAATTTTGAATATTTCTTCCCATAACAGAGAAATTTATTTTCATATGAATTTATAGGTTGTTTTATCTTCGTGTAAAAGTGAATATGTTGTAACATGAGGAATTACAGACTATTTTTTCCAACAGAGGGTAAGTTTAATATAAATTATGGGAGCCTACAATCTTAAAAGGTGAAGCTTTGGAAGGGATATGGTGAGAGTTTGTAAAACCAGGGAAAAGATGGAATGAAAATGGACCTACATTTTAGATTTCAGAGTTTGAAATGAGAATGCTAAGGTAAAATAAAAAGAAACACCATGTTGTATTACTCAACAACAACAAAAAAATTTCTCTAAAGGCCGCATGTATTTCAAGCCTAAAAGAGATAGAAAAACAAAAGAAAGCAATTTCTTTATAGAAGGTTAGGAAAGGGTTGAGGTTTGTTGCGGGAAGTCAGGGACCCCAAACAGAGGAACCAGCTGAAGCCAAAGCAGAAGAACATAAATTGTGAAGATTTCATGGACATTTATTAGTTCCCAAAATTAATACTTTTATAATTTCTTATGTCTGTCTTTACTGCAATCTCTGAACATAAATTGTGAAGAGTTCATGGATATTTATCACTTCCCCAGTCAATACTCTTATAATTTCCTATGCCTGTCTTTACTTTAATCTCTTAATCCCGTCATCTTCATAAGCTGAGGATGTATGTCACCTCAGGACCCTGTGATGATTGCGTTAACTGTACAAATTGTTTGTAAAACATGTGTGTTTGAACAATATGAAATCTGATTGTACAACATGGGTGTTATGAACAATATGAAATCAGGGCACCCTGAAAAAGAACAGAATAACAGTGATTTTCAGGGAACAAGGAAAGATAAACATAAGGTCTGACTGCCTGTGGGGTCAGGCAGAATAAAGCCATATTTTTCTTCTTGCAGGGAGCCTATAAATGGACGTGGGAGTAGGAGAAATATTGCTGAATTCTTTTCCTGGCAAGGAATGTTAATAATTGATAACCCTGGGGAAGGAATGGATTCCCAGGGGTAGGCCTATAGACAACTGCTCTGGGATCGTCTGTCTTATGCGGTTGAGATAAGGGATGAAATATGCCCTGGTCTCCTGCAGTGCCCTCAGGCTTACTAGGGTTGGAAATTCCAGCCTGGTGAATTCTAGTCAGACCAGTTGTCTGCTCCCGAACCCTGTTTCCTGTTAAGATGTTTATCAAGACAATGTGTGCCCAGCAGGACATGGAACCTCATTGGTAATTCTAATTTCACCCTTGCCTTATGATCTTGCTCTGACCTTTTGGCTTGTGATCTTTTACTGCCCTTTGAAGCATGTGATCTCTGTGACCCTCTCCCTATTCATACACCCCTCCCCTTTTGAAATCCCTAATAAAAACTTGCTGGTTTTGTGGCTTGGGGTCACCATCACAGTCCTACCTATATGTGATGGCACCCCCAGAGGCCCAGCTGTAAAATTTCTCTCTTTGTACTCTTTCTCTTTATTTCTCAGACTGGCCGACACTTAGGGAAAATAGAAAAGAACGTACGTTGAAATATTGAGGGCTGGTTCCCCTGATAGAGGTAGACATGGTAATATCAAATAAGCATGTTGGGAGTTCACTATGTGCCAGAAACTGCATTAAGAACTTTAGAGAGATTAATCTAATTGTCACAATAACACTTTGATACATGTATACTCTTTACCTTTTATTTCCCCAGCTTTATTGAGGTATATAGGTGACACCTTAAAAAAGAAAGAAGTTTTGTCATTTGCAGCAAGATATATGGACCTGGAAGACATTATGCGAAGTGAAATAAGTCAGACACAGATAGACAAATACTGCGTGACCTCACTTATACTTGGAATCTAAAATATCTTTACTTTCATTTTAAAGACAGGCATCAGAGGTTTCTAGAAATCTCATCACTTTTCTCAAGATCATGCCACTAGCAAGCATAGAAAATAAGATTCAATACTATGTAGCCATAAAAAGGAATAAAATCATGTCCTTTGCAGGAACATGGATGGAGCTGGAAGCCATTATCCTCAGCAAATTAAAGCAGGAACAGAAAACCAAATTGAGAACTGCATGTTCTCAATTATATGTGGGAGCTGAACAATGGGAACACGTGGGCACAGGGAGGGGTCAACACTCACTGTGGCCCATCGGGGAGGGTGGGGAGGGAGAGCGTTAGAGAAAAGAGCTAATGCATGCTGGGCTTAATATCTAGGTGATGAGTTGATAGGTGCAGCAAACCACCATGGCACATGTTTACCTATGTAACAAACCTGAACATCCTGCACACGTACCCCAGAACTTTTAAAAAAATTAAAGAAAGGGCCGGGCGCAGTGGCTCATGTCTGTAATCCCAGCACTTTGGGAGGCTGAGGTGGGCAGATCACAAGGTCAGGAGATCGAGACCATCCTGTGAATGGTGAAACCCCATCTCTACTAAAAAATACAAAACTTTGGCTGGGCACGGTGGCGGACGCCTGTATTCCCAGCTACTCCAGAGGCTGAGGCAGAAGAATGGCATGAGCCCGGGAGGCGGAGATTGCAGTGAGCCAAGTTCGCGCCACTGCACTCCAGCCTTGGTGGCAGAGCAAGACTCCTCCTCAAAAAAAAAAATTAATTAAAGAAAGAAAATAAGATTCAAACTCAGATTGCTCTATCTCCAGAGCCAAACTCCTAACCTCTCTGCTATAGTGTAGCAGCGGTATTGCTGATGTCACACAGAGTGAGGAGAAGAAATAGAAGCCAGGCGTGGATGCAGAAGAGCCTACTATATATGGCTAAGTGTTAAGTAACATTTTGCCTCATGTTTCTACAACTCAATTAATTATCACACAGACTCAAATGATGTCAACATGGATTGCTACTTAAAGATCTGGATGATGGATCAAAAATAACTCATTTTAAGCTTTGGTTTAGGCATTTCAAAAATTGGTAATCTTGATTAATTGACTAACCACATCAGTAAACAGAGCTTCCTCATTTCTAAAATAGGAATAATAATCATTCATACCATGTATATTTCATACAGTTGTTTTATAATCAAATTATGCAATTCAAGTGAAAATACTAAATAAACAATAAAAGTCAGTGAAGGCTGGGCACAGTGGCTCATGCCTGTAATCCCAGCACTCTGGAAGGCCGAGGTGGGCAGATCACTTGAGGCCAGGAATTTGAGACCAGCCTGGCCAACATGGAAAAACTCCATCTCTTCTAATAATGCTTAAGATGGAATACAATTATACATGATACAAAAAAGTAAGGCTTGGTTTGTTTCACTTATAA
Source organism: Homo sapiens (assembly GCF_000001405.40). Classification (NCBI taxonomy): domain Eukaryota; kingdom Metazoa; phylum Chordata; class Mammalia; order Primates; family Hominidae; genus Homo; species Homo sapiens. The sequence goes on from NC_000011.10 coordinate 50,053,356, forward strand.
AAATAAAGTCATTTTTATTTCCTGCTTTACCACTCATTATCCACTTGCAATTTCTTACCATGTAAAGAGCTTTCTCATGGCATTTTTTACCTCTTCATTTCTCAGGGTATAAATGAGCGGATTCAACATAGGTGTCAGAATACCGTAAAATAATGCCATATTTTTGTCTATAGATAAAATAGAAAATGGAAGCATATAAGTAAATATACAGGGCACAAAGAACAAGGCAAAAACAATGAAGTGGGCTCCACAGGTGGAGAGGGCTTTGCGTCTCCCATCTGCACTGTGGGACCTCAAGGAGTACAGGATGACAATGTAGGAGGCAGCCAGCATGAGGAAGTTCAACAGGCAGATTAAACCACTGTTGGCAACCACCAGCAGACCAATGACATGCATGTTGGTGCAGCCAACTCCCAGCAAAGGGTACAAGTCACAGACAAAGTGATTGATCACATTGGGCCCACAGAAGAGCAACCAAAGGACCAGGAGGAGCTGAACCAATGAATGCAGGAAACCCCCAAGTCAAGCCACCCCTACCAGCATGGCACAGAGATGCCTGGTCATGATGGTAGTACAGTGCAGGGGCTTACAGATGGCCACATAGTGGTCATAGGCCATCAGTGTGAGCAGAATGATCTCAACACCTCCCAAAAAATGAGCTCCAAAGAGCTGAGCCATGCAGCACTCATAAGAAATGGTTCTCCCCTCATACAAGGAGTCAGCAATGAGTTTAGGAGCCATAGAAAAAGAATAAAAGGTGTCAATAAAGGATAGGTTGGCCAGGAAAAAATACACAGGGGAAGCCAGGGTGGGGCTGGAGGTGATAGTGACCACAATGAGCATGTTGCCACAAACTGTGACCACATAAAAGACCACAAAGAGAACTCTCTGTACCTCTGAGTTCTGTGAGAGTCCCAGCATGACAAATTCTGTGATATTGTGTGGTATTTCCATAGATTCCAAGGTCACTGAGAATTCAGATGCAGAATTGCGTATAAAGACAAAGAGAAACATGAGTAATAGAACTAATTGCATGGGGAAAAACATTGCAAGTTTTCCTTTAATATACCCTTTGTCCCTCTTAACCCTCTTCTGTTCCGAAACTCTTATACAAATTTAATCTTCTGACCACAAAATGTCTGTTAACTTTAGCATCACTGGGCACCACATATCTCAGTTATTAGATGAAAATAATAACTTAATTATCTAAATTTGCATTTTTGTGGCTGCTGGGATTGAACATTTAACAGACATTTATTTTCCATTTCAAACTGGAGTAAATCTCTGATCACTTTCAGCATAGATTAGATTGCACTTGAGAATACCATGTAGAGTTAGGACCTCTTGAAATCTCTTGAAATCTCTGTGTGTATAGTCCATACTTCAAATTAAAGCTTTCTTCTTGGAGTTTGCAATGAAGTTGGTTACACTTTTTGTCGGTTTTTCCAATGGTAATACAATTGATATAAAACAAACTAAAGCAGGATTGGAAGAAACTGACTTGGTTGCAGCTAGAGACTTACCAAATTCTCTATTTCTCTACTTTCTCATTTATTGCATCTGCATACTGTGAACAGCATCATGCCTAGGAAGACAACTTAGCTTTCTCCTCCCCCTTGTTTTATACATTTTTACATCCTTCTGAGTTTTGCTTTCTCTGACCTTGGTGTAATCCTTCTAGTTAAGGACTACTAGTCCCCCTGCAATCTACAGGGAGGACTCAAAGTAAAAAACAGAATTAAAAAAAATGGGGAGTATCAGTGAAAGGTACTAGTAGATGATTATCTGCCTATAACTGCATAAGGGAAGCTACAAGGGCAGAGGAACAGGTGTCCTGTCTTAACCAGCTATCAATTATAACTTTATATGACAGAATATTCCTACTCACCCTTTTTTCCCCTGACGATATTAAGGAAATGCCTGTGAAATAGACCTAATAGTCCAATAGATAGTTTTGGGGTTTTTTGGAGAGACTTAAAAATTGCCCTTCTGGTCTTAAAACTTAAAATTTACATTTGTCTTATCTGAATTCCCTCCTCAAAACATTCACCCTTGGACATCCCAAAAACTATCAAAAAACTAAAACTCACCAAATCACTGCATTCAGGAAATAAGTTATCAGACCCTATATTCATCATAATTATTTGCTTAGCCTTCCCTGTTTTCCTAACCGACCACCTACTTCTTATTGTCCAATTCCTCTTCCTTACCTGTCTCTAACTCCTGTTTTAACAGTTATGTTTCCTCCCTGCTATATAAACCCCTAATTTCAGTTGATTGAGGAGATTGATTTGAGACTAATCTACCTTCCAGCTACAACACCCAATTGAAGCCTTTTTCCCCGGGGAATACTCATTGTCTCAGTAATTGGCTTTCTGTGTGGCCAACAGCAGGACCTAGACAGAACCCCTGGCCCTCTGGTAATACCTGTGCCTATCTTAAATTTTGAAACTGTCACTAACCCTCTCCACCACCCTATCCTTTTCCTGGAAACATAGGTCTTCTTAAAGTAGCTGAATCCTCCAACTTGCTGCAGATTTAATGCTCAGCATGACAAGAATTAAAGGAGAAACATCAAGTGTCAGAAGAAGAAAGAGGTACCCAGATATATAGAAACACTGGAGAGAAAACTCTTGTACCGATCATGAAACTGCTACCTTTTTCTCTCTCCACACTTCATTGCAAGAAGGTAAATATAGCTCCTGCAAGTGACAAGTCTGATGGGGACTTTTTGAAGGTAGAACATTATGGCCAAAAACACAGACAACAGTGATGAGAGGAAACACCTACATAGAATTTAGCCTTTGCCAAGCACTAACCAAACACTTATGTAGGTCAGCTTGTTTAATCTTCACATCATTCCCATGAAGTAGATTACTGGTTTTATCCTCATTTTTCAGAGGAAGAAAGTAAGAAATGCATAACTAATAAGTGGCATAACTGGGGCTGGTACCCAGGCAGTCTTGCCCCAGCTTGTGGGTTTCACGGTACCATACTGTCACTTAAACACATCTGGGTTTGAATCCCTCCTCTGCCATTTTATTGGCTGTGTTACTATGAACAACTTCTCAAGACTCAATGTTCTTATCTGTAAAATGAAGATAAGAGTACAGCAACACTCTGAGGCTGCAGAGAGGCATAAAAATCAATTTATATCAAGCGTTTGTACAGATAAACATTCAATACATGGAGTCTCTAACACCATCTTCAATATCCCAGGCAGTAAATTTTTCATATGGCTATTAATATGGGTACAGTATAATATGGGTATAATTATAAATATGAAAAATGCTCTAATGCTGATCCTTATGCAGAACACAAGAGTAGAGAAAATGTAATTAGTGTGAGTAGTATACAATGTAGCCAAATAATGGATTTATATGCCCAGAAATAAAAATAATAAGCTGATTCACCTCTGTGATTTAAATTTGTGGGAGTGTCAAATAAAATATTTGTTAAAAACTAATAAAGAAAGAAAGTTTCCTGTTTGAATTATCCATGAGAAATAAAATTATTTTGTGGAAAATAATGAGAATTCTAGTAAATTTATTCCACTGCATTTTTATTTGGGTTGCCTTTTTCTTGCATTTTATTATAAAAACACATTATAGAAAACTTACAGTGACTGGATCTGGGGACACCAACAGACTAACAGGTCTTCAGATTTTTTTTTAAATTTGAACATCATGGAATGGTGTACCTGGAAGAGTGTTTAAAATGTCTTCAAGGCCTAAAATGTCTTCAAGGCCAACTCCAAGTGTATGATCCTGAATTTCAATAGTTCATGTTATTAAATTCCTGGTGAGATTCAAATTGCTTTTTACATTGAGGCAAAGCACAGACTGGGAAGTTGCTATCGATTACAGAAACTCACCTAAGCTAAGTCTCTTAGAATCATACTAGGTAAAAACCCAAAGGGGGGTCATTTATTTACAAGTAGCTGGGAATTTGTTCCATCATCCGTTTCCTTTTTTTTTTTTTTTTTTGTATTTAACCACATATTTATCATTTCTGGTGCACTTTATTCCTTTGTTTAGGTATTATTTTTGCCTCTGCCTGAAGCGCTTCTTTGAATATTTCTTGAGCAGGTGTGCTGGTGATGAATTTTTTCGGTTTTTGCATATCTGAAAAAGTTTATATTTCATTTTCTTTTTCTTTTTCTTTTGAAATAATATAGGCTTACAAGAAGATGCAAAAATAGTTAATAGAGTCAATCTCAAGAGCCCTTCACCCAGTTTCCTCCAAGAGTAGCATCTTATTTCCCTTTTATTTGCTGAAGACTCCTATGACATTTCAAACTTTTTTCAATGGCCTCCATGTAAATGGTGGATCTGAGACTCAGAAAAACTAAGTGCAGTTTATCTAAAGTCACATGAGTGATTGGTGAATCAGCTTTGAGACTCAGAAAGATGAAATGCAGCTTATCTAAAGTCACATGAGTAATAGGTGACAGAGACACAGCTGGAACCTGGGTGGCTCATCACCCAGACTGTCCCCTTCCCAATACAGCCACCACCTTCCACTTTTACTCCCTCAGGCTTTGACAAGTCAAAAAGCACTGCCACTAAAATTCAGGAGAAAAGCCTCACAGAAGGGATAGCTGACTTGTTAGCTCTGCATTCTGCTAAGAATATTCATCAGCACAGTCTCAGAAAATCTTTCTCCCTCCACTGCAAAGGCTTATTGTTTATAAGGTAGAAATGAGAACACATGGATTATTAGTACTGTATGCTTTCTGCCTTTCCAAGGGAGACAAATTCTCCCTCACAGGATCTCTTGCTGAAGTGGTGTCAGAATGAGCCTTGTTCACAGGTGAGAACAACATTGATGCCATCATTTAATTAGTCCCCATGAATAGAGTTTTGGTCTCACAAGGAAATAACTTACATTCTTCCTTCTAAAAGTACCAAATGTCCTTCTAGTCTCTGGGGAGAATTCACAAATTATCCAGAAGAAAGAAAACTAGGATATTTCAGAACCTGATATTGAAAGGTCAGTGTTTATAAGGAAATCACTGACTGAACAACAACAAAATCAACAGCACTTATTGAGCATCTCTTGCATTCTAGGCATAGGTCCTAGGCCCTCTCACATCCATCCTCTCTTTTGTCTCCCCCCTTCAAAGCAAAGAGAGAAGAATCACTGTCCATTATCCACACCTATACTACGTAGCATGCTAAAATATCAAGGGAACTACAGTCAGAACAATCTGAATTGGAATTACACTTCCACCGTTTTGACCATTCAGTAAGTGTTTATTACTCAGCCCCTAGCTAATAAAAGACAACACTTTGCTAAATGCCAGGACTATCATGGTGAATATGATGAACCTGGCTCCCAGCAGCATGGAGCTTATATTCTAAAAGGGGCAGTGGCCACCTGCCAACTAAAGCAGGAAGGAAAACTAAACAAATAGAATAATTACAAAATAAAATATATGGAATTGTGGGTAAATTGTATAAATATTTTTAATGCCAATATTACTGGCCAGATCCAGGTCCATTCTGCCCACCTACAGTAAATCAATCACTGCAACTCGGGTTTTGCCGAGGAGAAAATATTTATTTGCAAAGCAAGCAGGCAGGAGGAGCAGCTCTCAAACCTGCCTCCCCAAAGATAAGGCTTAGGGATATTTATGGGTTAGGGAAGTGAGGTGGTCTAAAGCATGGAGAAAGGTGACTGGCAGTGGGGGAAAATGAAGTAATGGGTTTGCTCTGAGCAAGCATAGTCTGGGTTAAGGGCATTTCGTAGGACATATGTACATAAAATTGTAACGTTAGCCTAATCTGAAGGTGGAGGTGTTTGGCCTCCGATGTCAAAATGACATCTTTCCAATACTGTGCAGGTCCAATTCAAGGGTCAGTGGTCTCACTGGTTTGAAATGGACAGGAGCTGACCCAAGTTCCTGAAAAACAACTGAAACAACCATTGCTACAGTGACCTATGAATGTTATCTACAAAGTAGAAAACATCTACTAAATTAGAACTCTACGAAGTTTCTATAAGCTCTTGTACTCTTTTCAGCTATCCCGGCCTTCAGCTTTATGGAAAAAGGAAAAATAAAAATAAAAAAAATCAAACAACCAAAAGGAAGCAAGGCAGGAAGACCTAATCAAATTAACTTTTCAGTTTCATTGATAAATGTTGATCAATTTCTCTCCAAAAAGGCAGCATTGCTTTACCTTCCTGCCTAAGCCCAACAATCCCGCTTTTAGGAATTAATCCAACAGATACAGTCCCACATGTTTACAATAGAATTGCTGAGTAAGAGGGATAGACATGTTTAATACTTATTCATATATGCAACAATCTTTGTAACAATTTATGTTTGTAAACATTTGTAACCTTTTACATTTCCAATACCCTTGTCTGTATTGCCACATACACCCTGCAATTCTCCCACACTAGATGAATTTTATTCTAAGCCTTCTCCAGACCTATTTCCTGAAAGCATTCAGAAAGTCACAAAATAGGGAAGATTTAATTTATATAAATTTGTGTCACCAACTTCAAAAGGCACATCAATATTGCTCAGCAATCCTAGTATATTGCTTTAGTCAACACATGTTCCCAACTCTCAAGAACCATGTATAACCTTTCTCACTTTCTTCAAAATTCCCTTCCCCAACCTGCAGTCTCCACTCT